>NC_000014.9:72793531-72945046 GCF_000001405.40 Homo sapiens
TAAGTTTATCTCCATCCTCACACTCTACCTCCATCTCTCTTCCATATCCAGGAAGGAAAAAAGGAAATTAACAAGCCGGCATCCAACATCCATCCTGAATCACCAGCTGGGCCATGTAGAGCATCCAAAGATGGGGTGGGGAAGCCCCAGGGGAGAGAGAGACATTGACAGATCACCGTCCCCACCTCTCACTTGCCTGCAGCTCCCTTGCATAGATGATGCTGGCAAATTCAACGTGATTTTCATTGGACCTGCCCAGCAGTCCAGATGTGGGAGCCTAATAACAAATAACAATGCCAGCTCCATGTGATCCTTGCACCTTCAAGAGAAAATGCCTTGCTGGCCAGCTGGGTTCTCTGGCCACCCTCCAGCCCACCTTGCTGCTTCTGGATGGAGGTTCGTGAAGCTGCTCCTGGCCTATCCAAATGGCCAGTAAACATTAACATTCATCCAGTCAGGCAACATCCATGGAGTGCCTATTCCATGCCATGCTGCCCCATGTGGGAGGCAGCAAAGCGCTTCAGTGAAAGGCTGGGGCACTGGCATGAGGACACCAGGTTTGAGTCCCAGCTCCTTGCTTACTTGCTGTCTGAGCTGTTGAACTCTGTGAGCTTCACTACCCTCAGCTGCAAAATGGGTATGATAATAAGACCCTTCTCATGGCTTCACTGACAAGAACAAATGAGGTGACCTCACTATGGGTGATCAGTAAATATTAGTGGTTATTACCACAATGTGGGGTCCTACCCTCCACTCATTGCCACCACCAGTGCCAGAAAAAGCCAGCTCATGAGTTAACTCCCAGGCAGTATTATCCACTCCAGGGGCCTCTCTGTCCACACAGATGAGCAGAAGCAGAATGCATGAAAAAATAAAATAGCTCAATGCCATTGCTACAGATTGCCCCACCACCACCATCTCACCAGTCAGCTTCAAGCCAGCGGGGTCAGCAGTCAGAAGCACAGCCAAGAGTGTGGGGATGATTCCGTGACAAACCATCCCCAGCAGCAGAAACCTATCTCACAGCACACATCCTCCCAGAAGTGGGTCAAGGGCATCCATTGCCTTTGTTTAAAGGCACTGGGTCACAAAGGAGGAGGAGCCTTAGCAGGTTGGAACTTTGGGATATTCCACAGGACAGGTAGAAGGGTGCTGTGTTGGTTTTCTATTGCTGCTGAGACAAATTACTACAAACTTTGTAGTTTATGAAAACACAAATGTACGATTTTACGGTTCTAGAGGTCAGAAATCCAAAACGAGTCCTAAGGCTAAAAATCCAGGCATCAGCAGGGCTGTATTCCTTTTGGAAGCTCTAAGGGAGCAGTTTCTTCCTTGACTTTTCCAGTTTCCAGCAGCTGGTGGCCTCTTCCTCCCATGTGTCACTTCTACCTCCACTTCCAATGTCATATCTCCAGCTCTGACTCTGACCGTCCTGTCTCCCTCTTGCAAGGACCCTTGTGATTACACTGGACTCACCCACATAAGCCAGGATAATCTCCTCATCTCAAAGTCCTTAACTTAATCACACCTGCAAAATCCCTCATACCATGTAAGGTAACATATTCATAGGTTCCAAGGATTAGGACATGGACATCTTTGGGGGTAAGGTCACGCTTCTATCTACCAAAGGCGTGTTCTGCTGCTGCTGCAAGGTACACTTGAATACCGTCAAAGCAATGGTGAAGAATTGAAAGAAACGCAGTTATGTCCTAAGCCCAGGAATATTGAAGCTGTCCTCTTTTTGACAAAAAAAAAAAAAAAAAAATATATATATATATATATATATAAGGCAGATGGTGCCTAAGAGCATAGGATTTGGAACCACATCGCTCTGGGTTCAAATCTAAGCTTCACCACCAGTCCCAGCTGAAGCTATTCAAGACCAGAAGCTCATCTGTGTGAACTTCCATTTTCCCAACATTGTAGGGTTGATGTATCCTAAGGAATAAAGAACAAAATGCACGCAGAATCTTTCACACCATGTCTGGCACACAGTGAATGCTTAGTAAATGGCAACTAAGAAATTGCTCGGTACTGTTATTCTATTAGTTTGGTTCTATCAGACCCAGTCACTAAATAAACCAGTTTGACGTGAAGTACTTGGCTATCAGCAAATACTACCAGGCCCTGTCAAGTCCCAGGAATCAGAGGGGCTGTTTGGCCAATGCAGACTGACCCTTTCATGCTGACGTCAGGGAGCCCCAGCAGAGACAACCAAAGATCTAGAGACATGATCAAAATTTCCCTGTCAGGACATGGTCCAGAACCATGGATCTCAGTTTACTTTCCGCAGAAAGAAGAAGAAAAGGTGAAGCCCGCACACTTCTCTCTTCCACAAACTCAGGCCCCATTCCCTTGTACGTCTTTCTCTTATAAACAATTGCACTTTATTTTCAATTGTGTTGTGATAAATTTGAGCTATAGCTTACAGTCAACAATTTCTATCACAAATCTTTCTGCCTTCCAATTCTGTGTATGTACAAACTGAGGCTAGGACCAAAGGAACGAAGACTTTATCTTACATGAATCATTTGATTCCATTACTGAAATCTCTCAGGTGAAGTTAAAATATATATACACTGGGTCTATATTAGAATATATGAGACTTGAATTTGATCTGCTAATTAGCTGGGTGACTTTAAGAAAGTATGTAACTTATCTGAGCATCCCTTTCCCCATCTATAAAAGGAGGCAGAGGCCAGGTGCAGTGGCTCATGCCTGTAATTCCAGAAGGCGGAGGCAGGCAGATCACTTGAGCTCAGGAGTTTGAGACCAGCCTGGACAACATGGCAGAACCCCATCTCTACCAAAAATACAAAAAATTAGCCAGGCATAGTGGCATGGGCCTGTGGTCCCAGCTACTCAGGAGGCTGAGGTGGAAGAATCACTTGAGCCCGGGAGGCGGAGGTTACAATAAGCCAAGATCATGCCACTGCACTCCAGCCTGGGTTACAGAGTGAGATTTATTTATCACTAAATAAATAAATAAATAAATGGAGACAGGAAAATCTGCCTCTTAAGACTACAGCATGGGTTAAATAGCATGTAAAACCTTTGGCATGTTGGATTTCTAGAGCATGTACTATGTCTCAGACACTACAATAAACATTGTATGTGCATTAATTCATTGAATCCTAATAACAACTCTATGAGGTGCTGTTTATTATTCCTATTTTCCTAGAAAGTAGACCTCTTGGGGCCAGGGATAGTTTTTTTCATCTTCAACTCCCAACTCAAATACCCTGTGAGTGGTAAATGCAAGCTACAACTATCATTGTCGATAGTTGAGTCTGGAATCACCGCAGACGATTTTATAAAGATGGACCCCAAGAGGTAGGGAGGTTTAGAGAAAAGGAGGAAGGAGAGTGTGCAGGTCTTCCCAATGGGGTAAGGCGAGGCATGAGGAAGTGACAAGAAATGCCAAGCCAGTAAGAAGACAGGACGAAGCATCGCACCTGGATAGAAGACTAAGTAAAACTACCTTCCTGTGGCTAAGGGGTCTACTAGGATACACTCATTGACTTGCTTTGGCCAACAGAATACAGTGGAAGTTAGATTACACCAGTTCCAAGCTCAGGCCTCAAGAGGCCTTGCAAGCTTCCCTTCTGCTCTCCGGGAACCCTGCCTAGTTGCTTAGCATATGAATACGCTTGGGCTAGCCTGCTGGAGAATGAGCAGACACAGAACACAAACAAGCTATCCTAGATGAAGCTATTCATCTAGGACAAGCTGACTGCAGACACATAGGTTAACCAGCCCAAATCAGAAGAACCAGCTAGCTGAGCCCAAATCGAATTGCCGACCCACGGAATAGTAAGCAAAATAAATGGTTGCTATTTGAAGCCATTAAGCTTTATGGTGTTTTGGTATGCTGCAAAACTAACAGAGGCAGGAGTCAATGTCTCATTCATCTTTATATCTTCAACAGCCAATAAAAGTCCTGGCATGTAATAGTTACACAGTAAACGCTTCATGAATAAAGTATTGAACTGATATATCAATACAGCTGTGAATAAATAAATGTCATATGCTGGAAAACTGAAATCATGTAAGATCGCATAATTCTATTGAGATACTTCAGCTTAAAGAATATTTTTAAATGGGGTTGGCTGCTACCTAATTTTAAAATCCATTTTCTTTTTTCTTCCTAGCCAACATCCTTTTCCACAAAGTTTAGTCAAATAGAAAAGAAAGTTTCACATGAACATACAACGTAGGATGTGGTGATCGAAAACTAGACTGGTTGCTTAGAGATCCGAGTTCTAGACTCAACTCTCCCAATAACTGGGAGACCTTGCTAATTCTCTTAATTACCATTTCTACGTCTATAAAATAGATATTAAAAAATTACCCTTCCCTGTCAACCTCACAGGGTTGTTGTAGCAAATAAGACAGCATGGGAAGGCTCTGAGCACTTTTTACCGTCAATGATTCTACTTCCAGCCAGGCTCAGTGGCTCTTGCCTGTAATCCCAGCACTTTGGGAGTCTGAGGTGGGTGGATCACCTGAGGTCGGGAGTTCAAGACCAGCCTGGCTAAAACGGTGAAACCCTGTCTCCACCAAAAATACAAAAGTAGTTGGGTGTGGTGGCAGGCGCCTGTAATCCCAGCTACTCAGGAGGCTGAGGCAGGAGAATTGATTGAACCCGGGAGGTGGAGGTTGCAGTGAGCCAGGATCGCACCACGGCACTCTAGCCAGGGAAGACAGAGCTAGCCTTCATCTCAAAAAAAAAAAAAAAAAAAAAAAAAAAAAGATTCTACTTCCTCTATAAGCAGAACTTTACTTTTTGATGGTTTCTAGTGTTTTTATAATATATCCTCTTAAGAGCCCCATTTATCCTTTTGCTGTCTTCCTTTTAATATTCTGTATCCCAGTAGCCATATTTTCAACATACATACATACATACATGTATGAAACCAAGATAGGAAATGGTTAAAATTATCCTTGATAGTGGAGAAAACTATTGCTCAATCCAAAGAGAGCTGGTATTTCTGGCACTGAGGATTACATGTGACCAAGGTCAGACATGATACCTGCAAGATGTATCCTCTAGCTCCAGAGTTCCCATGGAGAACTCGGGGTCCCTAGTTGGCTGCAGCAGGGGCTGCCAGCTGCTAAGGATGCAGCCAGATCCCTTTCCCTTTCCAGAGACTTCTGCCCAGTATGGGAAGTCAGAAGCTCCACACTCCAAGTATGGCTCTTCCACAACCTCAGTTCCTGCCTTGGGCCAAGTCTTGAGATCAGTGTAGCTGAGCTCCGAGCCCAGGTCTGGCACTGCTAAATGGAAATCCTTCATCTTGGCAACTCCTTCCACAATGGCAGAACCAGGTTGGAAGTTCACAAGGTGCTCCAGGCATATCAGGGCTTACTGCCCTCTCCTAAAGCTCCCGAAACCTTTGGAAGTCACAGTTCTGGAGTAAACATCAGGTGTCCTCATACCCAAGCATCTCAGGAGTGTGCAGGAGGCAGCAGAAGGTAGCCTGTGTCCTGAGGCAGTGCATTCTCCCCATCCCATGAATGATGGGGCTGGACAGAAGACATCAGGGACAGCAACTCAAACCACTGGGCAGGTGGGGCTGAATGGATGGGCAACACTGGCCGTGCTCAGGGCTCTGGGTCTTCCTTGACAGTGCAATTGTAATACCTCCATCCTTCCATCAACCCATCCTCCCTATGGTGGACATAGGTTGTCTGCCTGCCCAGATACCATTCTACCTCCTTCTAGTAACAATACCTCCATTTTCTACCTCTCCCTCACTATCAGTTGTGTAAAATCAACCCCACTCTACCCTCCAACTTCAGAGACAGGCTTGTGACTAGGCCTGGCCAATAAGAAAACCGGCCATGTTCTAGCCAGCCATGGTGACTCACACCTATAATCCTAGCACTTTGGGAGGCTGAGGAAGGAGGATTATTTGAGGCCAGGAGTTCAAGACCAGCCTGGGTAACATAGTGAGACCTTGTCTCTACAAAAATTGGCCAGGCATGGTGATGCACACCTGTAGTCCCAGCTACTCTAGAGGCTGAGGTAAGAGGATCGCTTGAGCCCAGTGAGCCACGATTGCACCACAGCACTCCAACCTGGGCAACAGAGCAAGATCATATATGTATATATATATATATGAGAAAGAGACCCACATCCCTTAGTGATCCGTTCAAGAGTGATCAGTTCAAGGGTGAAAATGTGGTCTGAGGCAGGCAAATTAGAGTCAATCCTGGAACTTCTGGGGGAAAGAGGCACTTTCTTTCTCTTAGTATGGAAAGGCAGATAACAATATATACCTGAAGCAGCTGGGAGCCACCCATCAAGCAGGCCTGTTTACAAAGGATGCCAATGTAAAGAAAAGTGGAGTTTAGAGATGAAGGAGAGATGGAGGGAGTCAAGAGGACCTTGCTGAGCCCCTAGACCGAGTCACGAGTGAAGAAGATACACTCACGAGCTGTTAGTTACATGAGCCCACACATTCCTCTGTGTGCTTAAGCACTATGAGTTGAGTTTCTTGCCATTTGCAACCTTAAAAAGCCCTGCCTGATGCACATCCCACCATTTGATGTTACCAACAGACTCTAATAAGGCTGAGGAAGAACCCAGGGGCCCCATCCAAATACCTCTAGGCTGCTTGAACTCAAATGCTTTTGAAATAAGGATGGTTCACTGTGGCTGTCAGATGCCACACATCAAACCTGAAAGGAAATTCTAGCCAGGGAATGCTACAGATGGCAGCTCACCACGGCCCCCACCACTCCTTATTGTCTTTGTCAAGCCCATTTCCTCATTTACTTTACCTGCCTGGTCCCTTTAAATACATAAGTTTACCATCCCTTATTAGATGGATAAATAGATAAATGGATGGATGGATGGATGGATGGATGGATGGATGGATGGATGGACGGACACATGGATGGATGCATGGATGCATGGATGGATGGATGGACACATGGATGCATGGATGCTTGGATGGATGGATGGATGCATGGATGGATGGATGGTTGCATGGATGGATGGATGCACAGATGGATGTATGGATGCATGGATGCATGCATGCATGGATGGATGGATGTGTGCATGAATGAATGCATGCATGCACAGATGGATGCATGGATGCACAGATGGATGCATGGATGGATGCATGGATGAACGGATGCATGGATGGATGCATGAATGGACGGATGCATGGAGGAATGGATGGATGGATAGATGCATGGGTGGATGCATGGATGGGTGCATGGGTGGATGCATGAGTGGATGCATGGGTGGATGCAGGGATGGATGCATAGATGGATAGGCAGACAAGCAAGCAGTTATGTAGTTGCAAGTTGAACCTACACACAAATAGGCATGATACAACTAAAGAATTAAAACGGCAGCCCACTGCAGTCAGGGGGCCATCTGACAATATAGGAAAGGAGATAACTATAGGCTTACTTCTGTATGGTTTTGGGTGTCTGGAATAACGGGAGATGACTCTCTGGGTAGCACTCACCCTGTAGTTGTGCTCCTCCCTCTCAAGCCACAGTGGTTAACACCACCTTACCAATAGTGCAGTACAAAGAGAAGCCAGTCCTGGCATTCACAGGTAGCTGTGAAAAGCTGGCCCTAAAAGGCAGTCTCGCTCAATCCCCAGCATCTACTTGGATCTGGGCAGGCAGCCACAGAAACAGAAGAAGCTACAGAGGATGCAGGCACTGGGTTTTGGTGTCTGGACATGGAAGAATTGCAGGCCAATATCCACAAATGTATCCGTGAGGCTCTGGTCTTGAAACAAGGATGTGAGGACCCCAGGATGGCTGGTGAGGGACACTAAGTGGCTCAAAGAACTGAGAAAAAAATAAAAACATAGCAGCAATAGAGACCAGAGTCCGAGCCAGGACAAGGCCTGTCCCTCAGCCACCTGGCTGAAGGCATCATCATGACCTCAAGGAGGTAACTGGTGAGTCATACAGAACCACACTGTGCACTCTTCACCATGGTTTATATGCTCACAGTTCAGGCAATTGCTTAGAAAACTGCATATCGTTCATGCCCCTATGAATCACTTTCCTCCTTTTGTTGTCTTTGTGAAGTCATCACAAAGTTCTGAGTGGAAGAATTCTTCCAGGGACTGCCAAGGAGTGACACTGTAGCCAGGTGGGTTCAGCTCTCACTTTGCTCAGGATATGGGTGTCCAGTGGCGACAGATCAGGAAAATAGCCCCATACTAAATGGTGCCTGGACAAGGCCCATACACACTTGGATATGCTGTCCTGAACACAAGGCACAAGACACAACACGGGAGGACCTTTCATCTCATGTCTCTTACAGCCAGGGACTGAAGGTGTAGGACAGTAGGAGAAAATAGAGTTTCACATAAAACACCCCAAGGACATCAAAGAAGGCTAGCTGCCAAGAGGTAGGAAGAACTAGATTCTTAGGGACTTATCCTTGGGGATTGATACCACCCCTGCCAGGCATCCACCTTTGGGGTGACTCAGAGCCAAGAAAACAAAGGCATGGGATAAGCCATGGAAAACAAATTCCTGCTGAGTAGCAAAGAGAGTGGCACCAACAAGTGGCACCATGTGAGTGACAAGAGCAAGCAAATGCTCACACAGGGACAGCTGGGTGTGCAGGGCCATCACAGCTCCCCCTACCCCCACCACCTGAACACTACGAGACAAATGGGACTCCTGGTTTCTGCCCTCAACATGCTTATATTTGAGAGAGGCCACAGGACCAGCGAGTGCAGAGTCATGGCGAACTGTACACAACCTGGAGTCAGGAGACCCATGTTCTCACCCTGTTCTGTTGCCTCGGGGGCCCTGAAGCCCATCGCTAAGTGTTTTGGGCTCCAGTTTGCTCATCTGTCAAGAGAGAACCCTTCACACAGCTCCTAAGTGCTGTGAGTCCCTGTCTCTCAGACTGGCTAATCTCCAAGGGCCTGCCAGGTCCCACATGCATGCTCTTGAGAGTCACATAGATATCAAAGCTCAAAATTAGCTCCTGGGAGTGGGAGCAAAGCTTCTGAGCCCCCAGCCCCTCCTGTGAGCACATACCTCAAGGCACATGCCCCCAACAGCCCAGAACTGACACATTTTTGATAGTTCCTGAGTACATGGATTTCCAGCCCTGGAAATGTTTGTTTTAACTTACCAGGAGAAAAGAATTTGGATTCTTTTTTAAATATACACAAAGGGAATACATTTGTATATTTTCAGATACAAAGTGGATGGGAAGCAAGGCTAAAGACTGTTCTTTTCCCTTAGCTCATGTGAGTGCTATTCCTCACGGTGAATTCTCCAAAGACCATGAATGGCAGAGATCTTTGATCTCCCTTCTAGCCTGTCTCGATGTGATAGCCTGGACATGGGCAGCTATCACGCCACCCTTCAGAACCTCAGCACTTCAATGACCACATCCTGCCATCATCACCCCCATGGAGGTCCAGGGCCCCTGCCCCACTGCCTACCTCTCCACCTGTGCCCACCTCTCCACCTACCCGCCCCTTGTCACATTGACAGATAAAATACAGGACTCCCAGTTAAATGCAAGTGTCAGATGGAG
The DNA here is from genome assembly GCF_000001405.40 of Homo sapiens. Taxonomy (NCBI): domain Eukaryota; kingdom Metazoa; phylum Chordata; class Mammalia; order Primates; family Hominidae; genus Homo; species Homo sapiens. The sequence goes on from NC_000014.9 coordinate 72,803,073, forward strand.
AACAAATAATATTTTAGTATAACATGTGCCTTCCTAGGCAGCACAACTGAAGCAGGCCCCTTCCAAGGATAGAAAAGTCCTCCTCTCTTCCTAAGTTTGTGTCCATAGAATCTCATCCAGTGGCCTTTCTGTCCCCTGGCTTCAAATGAAACCTGCCACTGCCTCTCTCTCAGGGTGAAGTGTGAAGACCGTGGCTTCCAAGGCCAATAGGCATGGAGGTAGTCATCCCATTCAGACGCCAATGGTTCTTAGTCAAAAAAGCTGCTTATGGCTGGAGTCAAAAACATGTCTAAGCGTGACTATCAGCCCCAGTGCAGAAGAGTCTGGGGAGAGGGAGAAACAAGAAACAGATATTACCACAAAACACTCCAAGGGAAATCTCACTACAAAAAAAGAGGTTGTTGCCTGGTGATGGCTGGCAATGGGCCATGAAAACCTAGTTCTGATTTTTAGATACAAGACACAAGCCCAACGTGTCACCCAGCCTGGATCCCATAGAGGTCACATGGACAAAACAGTACTTGAAGATCTTTGACCTGCCTAGGTGGGCAACTGGAGTGGAAGCTCCACAAGGGTATGAATGCTGTCTTTTGTTTTCCTCATCTCTATGGACTAGTCCATCTAGTCCAGGACTAGCCTCAGAGTGAGCATCCGATGATCGTAGGAAGACTGAATGAATGCGTGAACACATGAATGAATGCCTACATTCTCCAATATGTCCCAGAAAGTGTCAAGAGCTTTGTAACGCAAAAGGCTCTGAACAACTCAAATAAGAAACACAAACATGTGCAGTGAAAGGGCTAGGCCTGGATGGCCTGTGAGGTCATTGGCAATGTGGTGAGCCCTTGAGCCTGTCATACACAGGCAAATAACTTCACTGAAAGAATTTTAAACGCTACCTCCAACACCCTAGCTCAGCATCTATGGTTGAAGCCACCATGCCCAGTCATGGTGATAACCCCAGAAGGGAAGGGTGCAGAGACGCCAAGAAACAAGAACTTGGAGAGGACAATGAGGACCAAATGACTGGGGAAATAAGGGATGAGTGGGTAGGAATCCAAAGAACAGAATAGGAAAAATAACTCAAGATCCAGCACTGCTTTCCAGGACACACACACACACACACACACACACACACACACACACACACACGCAGACAAAGATTCCCCCCTTCCAGATCCACACTGCGTGCCTCCTGCCAGCCCCATCCCATCATCCTGTGACAGTGCTTCTTTGTGGAATAGAACAATAGGTACATTATGCCAACCTATAATTATCCTAGGAGAAGCGATGGCGAAGTCAAGGCATTATGTGAACACTGGAATACTGGATACCACCCCACCAGGAGCAAACAACAACAAAAACAACAACAATCCACAAAATCTCTAACGCAGATAAAGACTGAAAGCTGCCTAAGCCAGTGCCCTTTCACATTCATATGAGGGTGGGATTTTTTCCTTTTCACATGATTATTTAAGCACAAGGCCTTCTTTCATGGAATTGATAGAGTATTGGGGGAAGGGGCTGAGAGGTTGGGTTTGTTTGTGTTTTTGTTTTTTTTCCCAATAAGGAGGCAGAAAGTAGAGGAGGTCGTGAGCACGAGAAAGTGCCACTGCTAGGGTATGACACATAGAGCCCTCAAAGGTAGTTGAATCTGATTCAACTGAGTGAAATCATTTCATTAATAGAGATTCCTTCTCACTACTCCTGTGAAACTACTTTCCAGGGACGTTGGTATAAAATAGGCTGAGTCCTGGGAGGTGTCATGGAAGACAGAGACAAGAAATCAGAATATCTGAATTCTTATATCACAGCCACTAACTAGCTGTTTCCTTGATTTATTCAAGAGGTATGTGTTCCCTATCTGCCACATGCTAGGCATCAAGCTAGCAACAGAAGGAAAAAACAAAGCAGTAGTCACTTTCCTCTCGGAGCTTCAGCTTCCTACTGTGTAAAACGAGGGAGTCCCACAGCCCTGGACACACACACACACACAAACACACAGACACACACACACTTCTAAATACAAGGTGCAGCCCCAGCCTCCCACAGGACCTGCCTATACAGGCCATGACTGAAGAAGGGGGAAACCTGCAGCTTCTAAAACTGCACAGAAGGCTGGGCACAGTGGCTCACACCTGTAATCCCAGCACTTTGGGAGGGCGAGGTGGGCAGATCACCTGAGGTCGGGAGTTTGAGACCAGCCTGACCAACATGGAGAAACCCTGTCTCTACTAAAAATACAAAATTAGCCGGGCATGGTGGCAGGTAACTGTAATCCCAGCTACTCAGGAGGCTGAGGTAGGAGAATCACTTGAACCCAGGAAGCAGAGGTTGCGGTGATCTGAGATCACGCCATTGCACTCCAGCCTGGGCAACAAGAGTGAAACTCTACCTCCAAAAAAAAAAAAACTGCATGGAAGCCCAAACCCCCAGGGCAAATGGAACAGTCACAGCATGCCATGCACGCACAGGGTCAGAGCAAGAGTATGGCCAGGCGCGGTGGCTCACACCTGTAATTCCAGCACTTTGGGAGGCCGAGGTGGGCAGATCACTTCAGGTCAGGAGTTCAAGACCAGCCTGGCCAACAAGGTGAAATCCCGTCTCTACTAAAAATACAAAAATTAGTTGGACATTGTAATGGGCGCCTGTAATCTCAGCTACTTGGGAGGCCTGGGTATTAGAATCGCTTGAACCTGGGAGGCGGAGGTTGCAGTGAGTTGAGATTGTGCCACTGCACTCTACCTGGGTGACAGAGCAAGACTCTGTCTCAAAAATAAATAAATAAAATAACAAAGGTGTGAAAAGTAGGATGGGTGTTTCCTAGCACATCTCTAGTTTCTGAGGGCTCTCTCTAATGGGGACCTTCCTCTTGAATTGTGGTCCCATGGGTTCCACCTCTTCTGGGATCCAGTCAGGGCTTCTTCCTTCATTCTCAGGCACCTTCAGCCTTGAAACTCCTTGGCCTCCTTTCCCTTCACCTTCCTGGTGAAACATAACAGAGGGTCTTCGAGACAATTCCTTTAAATCATCAAAGGGCCTATCTAGCAATGTCTAACTCCATTCCTTAACGTTTACTGAAAAGCTCCTCAAATACATGATCCTCCCCTCTACCCGTTCCCCTCAGCTCTTAGCCATCCTTCCTCAGATGCTACTTTTTCATAGGGACTAATTTCTTCCTTCTTGCCAAATCCAGTGGCCACCCGTGGGTGGTCCTGCTGCTCAACCAACGTATGACAGTATTAGCCATGCGCTCCTTGAAACACTCAGAGCCTTGATTCTACTCATTCATTTAGTTCCTCCCCAAAAGTTCCCTGAGCCCCTGCTAGGCAGTGGGGATTTGGCAATAAGACCCAGTCCTTAGTCCTCTGCTCATCTCTCCACACTCCGCTCTTATGGCTCCAACTCTCACATCAGCAAAGGGCTTTCAAAGACTCAAAGCACCTCCACACTCATTACCTCTTGTAATAACAAAATTCAACTCTGCAAACTTTGCAAAACACTTTATATCGTAATCCTTTTTTCCCCACCCGCACTGGGCGAAAGAACCTATTCTTGCAACCAACACTATCCTGAAAATGTGGAAAACCTCTAATGGAAGTGCAACCAAGTGCTCCTGGAATTCGACATGCTTTTTTATGTCCTTCCCACCCCTAGTTCTCCCCTCCCTGCCCACTCTCCCTTCGCACTTCGCTTGCCTACCTTACAGCAGAGTTCATTTTGTCGGTCTCTTCTAAGTGGTGGGCTCCTGGAGGGCTTCCAACGGACTGATCTCTTTGTAGACTCCATATTACTCGGTGCTTAAATATTTGTTGAAATGCAGCAAGATCAGGGAGTAATTCAGCACCAATTGTTTACCTGATCCTGGAAACCTCATCTCTGCCCCCTCCATTCCCCAGGAGAGTCTGCCCATTTGAAAACTGTTCCTGGGTTTATTTCTAGCATGGCCCTGGAGAGGGCTGCCCTACCCCGCAGGGTCAGGGAGGTGAGTTTTCTCTCACCTTGGGTACTGCAGAGCCCACCACCAGTCCACCCTGAAACCTCAAAGCAGGCCCACAGGGTAGATATCTAGGGACCTTGAAGCAAACATTTCACCTATTCAGGACACAAACTAAATAAGCTTGTGTCGCTTAGTAATTCTGTAATGTCTTACTTATGCCCTTGGGCAAACTCCTTAAAATATTTGTTTCTGTTTTCCCATCAATAAAATGAGAATTGAAGCACCTATTTCTTAGGATTATTGTGAAGATTTGATGAATTAACACTAGGAAATGTGCCTAGCACTGTTTAATATGTGGCAGAGGCTCAATAAATACATTATTATTATTATTACTATTATTGACAGGTTAAAGGCCTGTGATGATACTGACTCCAGCATAACTCTGATACTGCCCCTTTGACTCGGCTAGTTTTGACAGAGGGCCCTTTGACAACACCTAAAAAACAAACCACTAAACTTTCAGTTTTTAAAAAAATACCAGGTAAGCTGGGTACAGTTGGCTCACGCCTGTAATCCCAGAACTTGGGGAGGCCAAGGCTAGAGGATGATAGGAGGATCTCTTGAGGCCAGTTTTTAACAACCAACTCTCCAGTGAACTAATCCATTCCTGCCAGAACAAATCCAGTCTTACAAGAGTATGAATATTAGAGCTACAAGGTACCGCCAAGAGACAGGGTTTTGCTTTGTTGACCAAGACCAGCCTGGTCAACATAGGAAGACCCCATCTCTACAACAAATTTAAAAATTAGCCAGGCTTGGTGGCACATACATAGTCCTAGCTACTCAGGAGGCTGAGGCAGGAAGATCACTTGAGCCCTGGAGTTGGAGGCTGCAGTGAGTTATGATCACGCCACTGCATTCCAGCCTGGGCGACAGAGCAAGAACCTGTCTCTAAAACAACAACAACAACAACAACAAGTAATGTGAGAAACAAATGCCCTCCCTCCCTCCCTGAGGGTCACCCCCAGCCTGACCTGATGGATGGGAAAAGATAAGCTCAGAGATGGGGTAAGGATAAGGTGGGAGTTAGGAATGGGGTAGAGGTCAGGGATGGACTGAGAACTAGGAAAGGGAAGGATCAAAGATGGACTGGAGGTCTGGAAGCAGGAAGAGAGAAATGGAGTAAGGGTCAGGGCTGGAGACCAGCAGAACCGAGGTGAAATGTAGGACCATCTGATGGATGGTCACATTAATAACTTTAATTTTTCACCACCAGCTCCCACTACAGCATCCAAACATCCTGCTCTGAAGGAGTGGGAGCAGGGACAGGGAAGAAGAAGAAACCTTAACTGAGTGAACATTTTAAAACAAGCAGGACATTTCGAACTCAAATAGTAAGAGTCACTTTGCTGTCCAAATCCCACCAGTCCTTGGTGTAATACTACAAGTGGGACTTACAAGCAGGACCCGCAAGAAGGTTCTAGTAACTACCTCAGCTTGCAGGACGTAAAATGCCTGGCGAACTTTGCATTCCAAGGACAGGAGTCTTCCAAATTAAAATTTTAATAGTGTGTGAAAATAGTTCGCCATTTACTCTTAGGATGAGGTAGTGTTTAGAAAGTCAGCCTGGAAATCCAGGCCAACATTTTCAGGGATGCCTCCTATTCTGGGAGGAGAAAAACCAGCTTGTTGCTTCCCTCCAGTAGCACAAAGCAGCAGGGAACCGGAAAGAGAGAGGGGTCTGAACAGCTTCTTCTACCAGGAAACCAGCCAAAGGTCTCCGGGCATGTAAGGACATCTGTTTTCAGAAGCTATGGTTTGGATTTTGGCATTCTTAGGAGTCTAGGAGCAATCCTACTAATTTGGGTTCTAGCTCCAACCATACTACCTACCTGCTGTGCGAACCCAGGCAAGTGATTTTACCTCTCTGAGCCTCTGTTTGCTCATCTGGCCCTCTAGACAAGATTAACTTGGCAGTGCCTTGTAGCTCTAATATTCATACTCTCATAAGACTGGATTTGTTCTCACAGGAATGAATTAGTTCCCTGGAGAGTTGGTTGTTAAAACACCAGGGCCCCCTTGGGTTTCCCCATCTTCACACGTGTCTACTTTCCCTTTGACCTTCCCTGCCATGTTGTGATGCAGAAGGAAAGCCCTCGCCAGAGGACAGGGCCATGCCCTTGAACTTCTCAGCCTGCAGAACCATAAGCTAAATAAATCTCTTTTCTTTATAAATGATCCAGTTCCTGGTATTCCATTACAGCAACACAGACAGACACTCCCACATCATCGTCACACAGGGCTTGGGCTGCCTGGCCCTGGCCACTGCCTGCCAACACCAGGCCTGGTCCCTCCATCATCTAGGACCTTGGGGAACATGGCACCGGTGAAGGGCATGGGGGTTACCAGAAAGAGTGAGAAGTCGGCAGGTCAGCACGGCCACACAAGCCACCCTCTCCCAACTTATGTGCAGGCATGATGGCTCCCCATCCACCAGCACTCCTGAGGCCACTACACCAGGGAGGAAAGAAGTGCATGGGGAGGCCTGGTCACACCTGCCCTTCCTTTCAGAACCCTGCATGTGGCTGATGGCAGGTCCTCGGCGCCTGGTGGAAGAGAAAGGGAAGGTGGCACTGGGCTCCACAGGCAGTGATTCTCAGCCCTGCTTGTCACTGGGAGCTGGTTCCTGGGTCCCACCCCAATCTCTTATGATTCCATAGATCAGGAGGAGACCCAAGAACCCAACTTTTCACTTAGCTCTCCAGGGAATACCAATGCAAACGGCCACTGACCACCCCTTGAGCGCCCTGTGGATGAGAGGGTGGAACTAGAGGTTCTAGAAGCAAGTGCTTGAGTCCCCTCACTAGCTGAATGACTCTGGGCAGTTTACATCTCCTTTCAAACCCTCAACTGCCCATCTGAGAAATGGGGATATAAAAGCGTCTGCTTCTTGGGGTTATTTAGAGAAATACATGAGAAAAAGGATGGAAAGCACTTAGCACTGTGCCTGTACATGTTGAGAATCTATAAGAGAAGATCCCCTCTTACTATTCAGGGGTGACTTGTACAAATGCCTTCTTCCATAGCAATCCCTTACTAAACTGGAGCATTTCATAGGGAAGATGCGAATAAGGGCAATGAAGCCTCAGATACAGAGGGCAGCGGAGTGCTGAGACACCTCCGTGCCCTCCCACAACATCCCAGTGCTGTGGTCCAGCAACATACCCGCCCCATCCCTCCAACTCAGAACATGCTCATTGATGTGCCTGAACCCAGGCTAAATGGGAGCACACCTATAGTGGGGGTTCCCCTGTCAGAGATATGCACTGCAAGGGCCTGCGGTCCAGGACACAGAGGAAGGAAGAGACGGGCGGAGAATGTGAATCACATTCATGCCAGGGTGTGTTCTAATACGTCAGCAAATGTGTACCGAGCTTCCGGGCTGCAGAGGAAGGTGGGCGTGTGTGGGGTTAGTGACTTGAAGGGAAAGAGGGGCATGAAAAAGAAGGGGGTGAAGAGTTAGAACTGGTGCAGCAGCTGGGTCTCACACACAAATGGCATGACTCTACTTCACAGGAACTACTCAGAAAGGGAAAAGAATAACTCTAAGAAACAAAGATCTGCCTCCAAATCCAAGAATGGCAGTAGAAAATAGGGTCCCCCACCCAGCAAGCACCCACATCACGTTTCATCAGAAGAACTCTCTATTCTCAGCCAGGCCTGGCACACTGCCTTGACCTTCCCGATCCTGGAGCTGGGCCCTGGGCTCAGAAGACCCCAGACTGTCATTGCTGGAAACAGAATCATTGCAGATATAGTTAGTCAAGATGAAGTCACACTGGAATAGAGTGAGCCCTAATCTTACAGGACTAGTGAGTTAGTCCATTTGTATTACTATAAAGGAATGCCTAAGACTTGGTAATTTGTAAAGAAAAGAGGTATATTTCACAGTTCTGCAGGCTGTAGAGCAACCACGGTGCCGGCATCTGCTTCTGGTGAGGCTTCAGGAAGCTACAATCATGGCGGAAGGTGAAAAGGAGAGCAGGCGTGTCACATGGTGAGAGCAAGACCAAGGCAGCAAGGGTGGGAAGTCCCAGACTTTCAAACAACCAGATCTTGTGTGAACTAACTGGGTGAGACTTCACTCATCACCAAGTGGACGGTGCTAAGCCATTCGTGAGAGATCCACCCTCATGGTCTAATAATCTCCCACCAGGCCTCACCTCCAACATTGGGAATCACATTTCAGCATGAGCTTTGCAGGGGACAAACATTCAAATCATATCAATTAGTGTCCTTATAAAAAAGGGAAGTTTGCCCCATGAAGGAAGAGATTGGGGTGATGTGCCTACAAAGCAAGGAATGCCAAAGATAAGACTGCCAGCCAAGCCCCAGAAGCCAGCAGAGAGGCCTGGAACAGATTCTTCCTCACAGCCCTCAGAAGGAACCAACCTTGCCAACACCTTGATCTTGGACTTTTAGCCTCCAGACTATGATAAAATAAATTTCTGTGAAGTTACCCAGTCTGTGGCACTTACAGCCACCCTAACAAACTAATACACCCAGAACCTTACTATCCTTCACCACACCGATCACCAATGAGGCAAGTCAGAAATTTCCAAAAAGTCTCCACATTTATTTTTCTACCCAATAAACCAGACATGATAGAGGAATTCAAATATAAACAAGACATAGGCCCTGCCTTCCAGAGCTCCTAGGCACACAAATGTTAGTCACTTTACACTTTGCAAAACACTTTCACATATATTGTCTCTTGTAGATCCCCCCATCTCACATTGAGATGGGAAGGGCAAGCTGTAGGTTACTCCCATTCTGCAGATGAGAACACTGAGTTTTGGAGAGTTGGTGGCTTGCTCCAGGGCACCCAGCCCTGGAGCGGCAGAGAGGGAGCTGCAGTAAAGTCTTGAGTCCAAGACAACATTGGTGTGGCTGTTTTCTTTCAGCCTGTCTTGCTGCCTCTCCTGCCGTCTTGGAACCTCTTGCCTCCTTCAAACAGAAGCCCCTGCACTGAGGTCTCTTGTATCTAAGATCTGCCCCAAGTGAGCTCCAGGAGGCAAGGAGGGAGGCCAGCCATGTTAAAGACCAAGTTAAAGACCAAAGTGGCTGCAGCACCATGAGATACCAGTGTAGTCCCCCACCTTCTCTCATAGTCCCTTACCCTGAGGCTGCTCCCACCAGCCCCGCTTACCTTTTTCCCATCCCCACCCCCGGCCCCCAGCCTCTCCCATCCCACAGGCAGGGCAGGTTCCTGGTAACAGCATTGCCCAGTGTTGTCAAAATAGCGAGGAGCTGGAAAGAATTCCAGAATGAAATCTATGTGCCTCTGCAGCCTCCCAACTGACTGCCACTGTGGCAGCTAAACCCGCTAATGTGCTAAGCGTTTTCTGGCAGGGCCAGGAGGCAGGGTTGGTATTTTGGGAGCTGGGAGGGGCTTGGAGGCAACATCCTCGGCAAGTCTGGGAAGGAGGTGGAGGCAGGGAGGCAAAGGGAACCGACCCAGAACACTTCCCATGACGTCACCGAGAGCCACCTGAGCTGCACCTCAGGATTCCTGAAACACTGCTGGCGGAGCGGAGAGTACGGAGAGTACGCTGGGCCCGGTGGGCAGGGCTCAGCAGGGCATGGAGGCTTTGTAGCTAGGCCTGGGGGGAGAGGGCGCTCTAGTATGCCACTTGTCATGTACACTTTTTCTGCTGACACAGAGCAGTGTGCAATGCGTCCGGGAGGCTGGGCAGCCCAGGGCTGGCCCAAGCTCTGTTTGCCTGAGTTGGCAGTGGCAGGGCCCATGGTGACCAAACAAAAGACGGGAAGCCAAACGCCCAGAGGCTGGCGGGTGAGGCTCCCTGAGAGGGCTCTGAGGATACAGGCACTGGCGAAGAAGGGCCAGGGGCTCATAGGGATAGGAATGGGGTTGGGGGCAATGGGAACTTGCAGGCAGGGTCCCCTCTGGTTTCCCAGACACACCGCATCGCCTCTGGGCATCAGCCTCTCCACACTGTCCTTGCTTTTCGGGGGCTCCTTCGAAAATGCTTCAAACCATGACACCAGGAAGGGGAGCAAACCACCAAATCTGAGATCCAAACAAGGTCCCAGCATTCCTTTGTCCCTGATGGGCTTGGCTCCAAATTCTGGGAGAAACCAGAGGGTTTTGAGAGAGTCAGGAGAGGGGTTCAGGGGACAAAAAATAGGGCTGGTGAAGAATTCCTTCCGGGAGCCGTCTGGTAGCAGGGAGTACCGTGGGTGGCAAGGCCGTGCTGCTCAGGTGAGGGGACATGGTGTCATTCTGGGAACAGATGAGCCAGTAAAACCCTGACAGGATTCAATCTGGAGGAAAAAAATCCCAGCTGATAGGAACTGCTGAGCGCTTGCAGCTTTTAAAGCCCCTCTAGCAAAAGGATCTGCAAAAGCTTTGCAAACTCTGACCACGCAGCCAGTCAGCCACTTCCCAGCCCACAGCAACGAGAGAGTTTTTGCTACATCAGAACAAACCCACTCACAAATATCTCATCCTGGCCTCCCCCCCGGCACCCATTCCTTTTGGGTCTGTGTGCCTGCCTTCCTCAGAAATGACATTTTGTCAGAGCAGTGAGAGATAGTGTTGCAGGGGCCAAAGGCAGCCAGGGGGCTGGACTGCAACTAGGCTCCCCTGCTCACTAGCGGCTGACCCCAGGCAGGGCACTTAACCTTTATGAATCTCATTTTTTAATCTGCAAAAATGCAAATAATGAAGCTGCTCTTACAGAGTTGGTGAGAGGACTAAATGAGATGATGGATGCTGGGGCTCGAGCACAGAGATGAGGGGCTCCATGACGGCTGGTCCCCCTCCTTCCCACCTTCCTCTCCAGGGCCCTCCGGCACCATAATCAGTGTGGGAAGGATGCAGAACAATGGGAGTTTAATTCAGAGGTTGGCGAGGCAAAGGCATACTTTAATAGAATTCTCTCTCGCCCAGTACATGGTTTCTTGTCCACCCCACCCACCTTTCCCCATCTCTACCGGCTGATAGTCTCTCAGCTAGTAGACCTTTTCTTGTTTAGCAGGGCCACTTTTTTTAAAAACTCCAGACGGGTACCCTCCATGTTGCAGGCGACGTGGCCCTGGATCACTCAACTGACTGTCATTTGAATGGTGCCCCCAGAGTGAGGCAATGGTGCAGCCCTCCTAAGGCCCTTCCTGAGTGTCCCTCCTTCATGAAGATGATTCTGAGGCTTCCCAGGCCTTCACCCTTCTTTGAAAGCCCATAGCAGTTCATATGCACTTCTCTTCTATGCTCACCAAACTCTGCCTTCATCATACTTGGGGGATGTGTGTGAGAGCGAGAGAGAGAGTCCAGCAGGGATTAGATCTGACTTTTATATTCTCTACAGTGCCTGGCACAATGCTAACACATTTGATGAGGCCAGAATTACCCTGATACCAAAACCAGTTAAAGACATTACCAAAAAGAACTTTTTCAATATTTTAATTCTTACCTCATACCCTAGATAAAAATTAACTTGAGCGGGGTGTGGTTGCTGACACCTGTAATCCCAGCACTTTGGGAGGCTGAAGCAGACGGATCTCTTGAGACCAGGAGTTTGAGACCAGCCTGGCCAACAAGGTGAAACCCCGTCTCTACTAAAAATATAAAAATTAGCTGGTCATGATGGCAGGTGCCTGTAAGCCCAGCTACTTGGGAGGCTGAGGAGAACTGCTTAACCGGGAAGGCAGATGTTGCAGTGAGCCGAGATCGCGCCACTGCACTCCAGCCTAGGCGACAGAGCGAGACTCCGTCTCCAAAAAAAAAAAAAAATTAACTCGACATGGATCGTAGAGCTAAATGGAAGACTAAAACTTTCAAACTTCAGAAAGAAAACTTGGAAGAAACTTTTTCTAACCTTGGGTTAAGCAAAAATTTTCTTAAATAGGACATAAAATGCATGAGTCGTAAAGGAAAAAAATTGATACATTGGACTTCACCAACATTTTAAATGTCTACTCTTTGAAAGGCACTAATATGAAAATGAAAACACAAGCTACAGACTGAGAGAAAATATTTGCAAAACATATATCTGATAAAGGATGTTTAGTCAGAATATATAAAGAACTCCTAAAACTCAATAAGAAGACAAATGACTCCATTTCTTTTAAGGTCAAAGAACTGAACAGACATTTCACAAAAGAAAAGATACAGATGGCCAAAAAGCACATCAAAAAAAAAAGGTTCAACATTATTAGTTAGCAGGGAAATGCAATTAAAATCACAATGAGATACCGTTAAACATCTATTATAATGGCTAAAATTTAAAAGGCTGACAATGCCAAGCTCTGGCAAGGATATAGAATAACTACGACTCTTACACACTGCGTGTGGGAATGCTAACTGGTACAGCCACTTTGGAAAGCAGTTTGGCAATTTCTTTTAAAGTTAAATATACAATTATATTTTCATTTCTCCCAGAGATTTGCTCAAAAGAAATAAAAACATATGTCTACACAAAGACCTATAAATAGGAATATTCATAGCAGCTTTCTGCATAATGGCCAAAACTTGGGAACACCCAAGTGCTCATCAGTTGGTAAATGAATAAGCAAGTTGCCATGCAGCCACACAGTGGAACGCACCCATACATGCAGTAACATGGATAAGTCTTAAACGCATGGTATCAGTTCCTATTGCTACTCTAACAAATTACTACAAACTCAGTAGCTTAAAACAACACAGATTTACTGTCTTACAGTTCTGGAGGTCAGAACGTCCGAAATCAGTCTCACTGGGCCAGCATCAAGGTCAGTTTCCTTATCTTTTTCAGCTCCTAGAAGCCACCTGCATTCCTTGACCCATGGCCCCTTCCTCCAAAGCCAGTTGTGTTGCATCTTCTATCTAACTGCTTAAGGGAACAGGACTTTATCAAGGCACAGAGCCACAGCAAGTATGGGAAACATATAAGTAGTTCCATATTTCCAGGGTGTGTAATGTAACATTTCGAAGATAAGGAAACTGAGATTCAGAGAGATCCAATATCTTACCCAAGGTCCAGGACACAGTGAAAATCATGTTCAACCCTAAGGCCTCTGAATCCAAATCCAGAGTCCACGTGAGCCCTCAGACTTCCCTGCCTTGACCGTGGATAGTCATCTCCACCTTGTCTCAGAGCCCTGCACTCCCACCCTTGTACACTGCACCAGCAGCTAAGCCTGTGGAGCCAGGCAGAACCCTGGGCCTCCCCACCTCCCCACCCTGGGACCAACAGATTCCCAGCTCCAGCAGGATAACATCATAACCTTAATAAGATTGACATTTGCATCCTGTTTTATATTCATCAGCATTCTTACACTTACGTTATGTTATCTGGCCTTCTCCATCGTATGAGTCTAATGGTGCAGATATTCTCCACCCCACATTCTCCAACCCTCAGAAAGCTGAGGTACTTTCTTATACAGCAAGTGGGTAGAAGCCAAGATCAGAACCTTACCCCCAACCCACCCCTTGATACCAGAAGAGCCTATTGACTCAGAACAAAACTCAGGCAAACCCCCCACCTAGCTGAGCTTCCCCTCCTTCATCTGCAGGATGGAAAACAGGGTAATACCTGCCCTGCCTATCCTGATACATCAGGCATAAATGGAAAAAAAAAAAAGGAAGTAGTATGTAAAAGCACTTTGGAAATGTTAAAATGCTATGCAAATTATAAGGAACTGTTCTGATTATACTCTCAAGAAATGTCACAAATTTTCTCCAAAAGTGAATAATTGTCATTACTTTTCAACTTCATCCCCTTGAAAAGCCAGTTTCTCCTCCTGTCATCTTTTATTTCTGGTTAAAGCAGAGATGTTATACTCAACATTCCAACTGGAATATCAAGATCAATCTTTAATTCCTCCTTCCAGCTTCACCCTTTCTGAAATCAAGAACAGGCAATTCTCTACTCCACCCACCATCTCATCCTCAGTTTCTCTTGCCATCTGCCCCCCTCTGAAGCTAGAAATCACCAGCAACCATTTTCATTCCTCATCCCTCCGGTCTCTCCTCAGTCAGAGCCAACCTACATGATGCAAAAGCACCACTCCAATCACCTCTCTCAGAGGCTCACAGCCCCGGGGGGACAGCGTCCAGGGGTCCTCCACGGGCTGCCCCAGTGAAGCTCTCCAGCTTGTCTCCCATGACTCACCAACCCAGGTAAGCCTAAATGGCCCTGTTTCCCAAAACTCAACTCTCTTCCCACTTTTATGTCCCCACTATATCTGGAACTCCCTTTCCCACTATTTAATTAGCTATGGGGGTAGGAAGAATCAAACTAGACCCCCAGCTCTTACATCAACCTAAATATATTCCAAGTGAATCAAAGAATTGTGGTTAATGGCTGGGCACGGTGGCTCACACCTGTAATCCCAGCACTTTAAGAGGCCAAGGTGGGTGGATCACCTGAGGTCAGAGGTTCGAGACCAGCCTGGCTGGGTAACATGGCAAAACCCCGTCTCAACTAAAAAATAATAATAATAATACAAAAATTAGCCAGGCATGGTGGCGCAAGCCGGTAGTCCCAGCTACTTAGGAGGCCAAGGCAGGAGAATTGCTTGAACCCACCCAGCAGATGGATGTTTCAGTGAGCCAAGATTGCACCATTGCACTCCAGCCTGGGCAACAGAGCAAGACACCACCTCACAACAAAAACCACACACACACAAAGAATTGAGGTTAAAAAAAATCCAGATTATATAGATGAATATCTATCTGATAGCTGAATGGGGCTGGAATTTCTAGGCTACATAGCAATGGAGTAAATCAGAGGAGAATAAAATGAATAATAGTTAACATTTACCTATTTTCACTTCTTTTAACTGGATATCCATATTTTAAAAGTAAACATACCCTTTACTTCATGTTGTACACAAAAAATAACAAAATGGATCACAGAATGAAAGAAATGCTAAAATTAGAAAAATTCCAGAAGAAGGCCAAGCACGGTGGCCTGTAATCCCAGCACTTTGGGAGGCCAAGGTGGGCAGATCACTTGAGGTCACGGGTTTGAAACCAGCCTGGCCAACATGGTGAAACCCCTATTAAAAATACAAAAATTAGCTGGGCATGGTGGTACACACATGTAATCCCAGCTATTCAAATGGCTGAGGCACAAGAATCCCTTGAACCCAGGAGTCAGAAGTTGCAGTGAGCAGTGATCGAGCCACTGCACTCCAGCTTGGGCAACAGAGCGAGACTCTGCCTCAAAAAAAAAAACAAACTTCCAGAAGAAAACATGGGGAAAATCTTCATAACCTTGGTGTAGGCAAAGATTCTTAGGACACAGAAAATAAGAATCACAAAAGGGAAAAATAACCTGGACTTCAAAATTAAAAATTTCTGCTCTTCAAAAGACATTGTTATGCTGGGTGTGGTGGCTCATACCTGTAATCCCAGCACACTGGGAGACCAAGACGGGAGGATCATTTGAGACCAGGAATTCCAGACCAGCCTGGGAAACACAGAAAGACCCTATCTCTACAAAGAAGTTTATTAACCAGGTGTGGTGGCTCATGCCTGCCGTCCCAGCTACATCGCAGGCTGAGGCGAGAGGACTGCTTGAGCCCACGAGTTCGAGGTTACAGTAAGCTTTGATCATGCCATTGCACTCCAGTGTGGGCAACAAAGACCTTGTCTCTAAAAAGATAAAAATTTAAAAATTAAAAAGACATTGTTTAAGATAGGAGATATGGTTGTACAACAATGGGAGTATAATTCACACCACTAAATACTCAACATGATTCCAATGGCATCTTTTATGTTACGTATATTTTACTACAATTTTTTTAAAAGATGTTGTTAAGAGGATGAATAGACAAGCCACAGATTGGGAGAAATGATTCATAGTACATATATGTACATAGTATAGTCATACAGTATATAGATACATGTATACACAGTACATATATAGCACATACATGTACATACATACATATATGACAAAGGATCTATATCCAGAATATATAAAGAACTCTAGCAATTTAGTAATAAGGCAAACAACACAACAAAAGATTTGAACAGACCCTGCACAAAAGAAGATAGCCAATAAGCACGTGAAAATATGCTCAGCATCATCAGTCATTAGGGAAATGCCCACTAAAACTACAGTAAGCTACCGTTCACACCCATTAAAATGGCTAAAATTCAAAAGACTGGTAATGTCACCTGCTGGTGAGAATATATAGCAACCAAAAGCACAGCCACTGCTGACGGGAATATGCAATGGTGCAACCACTTTAGAAAATAGTATGGTAGCTGCTTATTCTAAAAACATGCATTTACCATATGATTGAGAAGTTTCACTACTAAGTATTTATCCAAAAGAAATGGGGGAAAATGGTATGTCAAAAAAGAGACATACACAGATGCTCGTGGCAACTTTATTCATAATAGCCAAAAACTGGAAACAACCCAAATGTCCATCAACTGGTGAATGATTACAATATTTTGGAAAATTCATATGATGAAAAACTCAGCAAAAAAAAAGATGTTACTGCATTGGTATCAGGACTGAAAAAAATAAAAATAAAAATTAGCTGCTAATGTACACAACAATGTGGATAAGACTTTTTTTTTAAAAGGCCGAGTGAAATAAGCTAGATTCAAAAGAGTAGATAGTGGTCAGGCATGGTGGCTCACATCTATAATCCCAGCACTTTGGAAGGCCTGGGGCGAGTGGATTGCTTGAGCCCAGGAGTTCAAGACCAGCCTGGGCAACATGGGAAAACCCCATCTCTACTAAAAATACAAAAATTTAGCCAGGTGTGGTGATATGTACCTGTGGTCCCAGCTACTAGGGAGACTGAGGTGGGAGGATCACTTGAGCCCAGGAGGCAAAGGTTGCAGTGAGCTGAGATTGCACCACTACACTCCAACCTGGGCGACAAAGTGAGAACTTGTCTTATTAAAAAACAAAAGGTAGATAGTGTATGATTGTGTTTACATGAACTCTTAGAATCAGCAAAATTAATCTACAGTTACAGAGAGGGGGTGAGTACAAAGAGGCACTAAGGAACTTTTGGGGATAATAATAATATTCTATTGTGGTTACATGGGTATACACATTTGTTAAAATTCATAGAACTATATATTTTGAATGAGTACATTTTATTGAATGTAAATTATACCATAGTTTTAAAAGAACTTTTTAAAAGTCAAGATGCAAACTGGGGAAAATATTTGCCACATGTATGACAAATTAATATTCTTAATATACAAAATGTCATGCAAATTGATATAAAAAGCATTAAGACCTCAACAGGCAAATGGCCAAAAGACACAGAAAAGCCACAAAAGAGGAAATAAGAATATCTAATAAACAGGTTAAAATTAAAGCAATGAAATACTGTATTTCACAAACCAAATGAGCAAATTTCACCTATCAAATGAGTTTTTTTGTTTTTGTTTTTTGCTTTGATGATAATTTTTGTTTTGTTTTTACTTTAATGATAATACTAGTATTGTAGGACAAGATGAGCACTCTTCTGGTAAAAATATAAATTGATACATTTCTAGAACACAATTTGGAACACTATTATATAAGCTTTAGCAGGAACATTAAAGTTAAGACCCAAAACCTTAACAATTTTCAGATTATTTGACCCACTTCTAGAAACCTGTGCTAAGGAATAAACAAAGATGAATGATCAAAATTAGAGATTTACAGGCAAGAGTTTTCAGCCAGGCACTGTGGTTCACACCTATAATCCCAGCACTTTGGGAGGTCAAGCTGGGAGGATCACTTGAGGTCAGGAGTTCGAGACCAGCCTGGGCAACATGATGAAACTCCATCTCTACAAAAAATTTTAATAATTAGCCCAGGCACAGTGGCTCACTCCTGTAATCCCAGCACTTTGGGAGGCTGAGGCAGGCAGATGACTTGAGACCAGGAGTTCAAGACCAGCCTGGACAACATGATGAAACCCCATCTCTACCAAAAATACAAAAATTAGCCGAGTGTGGTGGCACATATGTTTGTAATCCCAGCTGCTTGGGAGGCTGAGGCATGAAAATCGCTTGAACCTGAGACGCAGAGGTTGCAGTGAGCTGTGATCACGCCACTGTACTCCAGCCTGGGCAACAGAGTGAAACTCTATCTCAAAAAAAAAAAAAAAAAATTAGCGGGCGTGGTGGCATGCACACTACTTGGGAGGCTGAGGTGGGAGGCAGAGCCTGGGAGGCAGAGTCTGCAGTGAGCTGAGGTCACACTACTGCACTCCAGCTTGGGCAACAGAGTAGGACTGTGTCTCAAAACAAGAAAAAACAAGTCTGGCCATGGCGGCTCAGTCCTATAATCCCAGCACTTAACAAGGTAGAGGCAGGAGGATAGCTTAAGCCCAGGAGTCCAAGACCTGCCTGGGCAACATAGCAAGACCCCATTCTCCACCAACAAAAGGGACAAAAAAGAATTTTTATTACTGACCTTGTTTCTAGCAAGAAACAATCTAGGATAAGCCACTAGGTTGAGTAAACGCTGGCATCAATATGATGAACTATCGAATATTGTCCATGGTACAAACTTAATAAATATTTCTCAAATATACTCAACGTATACACTATATAAGAACCTTAGAAAGGAGTGAGATGTGTAGATGACTTACACTTATGGGTAGAGAAACACATAAACAAATTGTTTCATTGCAGCAAATATTGGAAATCATCTAAATGTTCATCAAGAGAGGTGAAATTAGGCCGAGTGTACTTGCTCATGCCTGTAATCCCAGAGCTTTGGGAGACCAAGGCAGGAGGACTGCTTGAGGCCAGGAGTTCAAGACTAGACTGAGTAACATGGCGAGAGCTCATCTCCACTAAATTTTTTTTTTAATTAGCCAGGCACTGTCGTGTGTACCTGTAGTCCTAGCTACTCAGAAGGCTAAAGTCAGAGGATCACTTGAGCCCAGGAGTTCAAGGCTGCAGTAAGCTATGACACGCCACTGCACTCCAGCCTGGGTGACAGAGTGAGATCTTGTATTGAAAAAAAGAGGTGAAATTAAATAAATCATGGTATGTCCACACAATGAAATGCTATGCATCTGTTAAAAACAGGCCAGATCTAATCTATGTCCTAGGCTGGGCGCAGTGGCTTGTAATCCCAGCACTTTGGGAGGCCAAGGTGGGTGGATCACCTGAGATCAGGAGTTCAAGATCAGCCTGGCCAACATGGTGAAACCCCATCTCTACTAAAAAATACAAAAAAATTAGCTGGGCGTGGTAGCACATGCCTGTAATCCCAGCTACTCGGGAGGCTGAGGTGGGAGGATCACTTGAACCTGGAAGCCAGTGGAGGTTGTGGTGAGCCAAGATTGCTCCACTGCATTCCAGCCTGGGCAACAAGAGTGAAACTCCATCTCAAAAAAATAAAATAAAATAATCTATGTCCTAGATTGTTAAAAAATTTTTAAAGGTGCAGAACAGGGCACTTGGAATGCTACTATTTGAAGGGAGAAAAAAATAAAAGGACACATAAATATTTATGTTTATATAACATCACCAGAAAGATACAGAAGAAAAAACAAAACAGGTAAGTCTATACTGAAAGACTAGGGTCTGAGGATGTGAAAACAGGGGTGACAGAGACTTAGATTTACTTTTTGCTCTCAATTACTTTCTGTAGTGTTTAAATTTTTTACCATATACAGGTTTTTCTTTTTCAAAAAAACACCACCAAAAACAAAAACACAGATTTTTTTTTAGAAGGAAGGGGAGTGTTATGGATTGAGTTTCTTAGAAGGAAGGAGAGTATTATGAGTTGAGTTTTTTAGAAGGAAAGAGAGTGTTATACGTTGCATTATATCCCCTTTATATGTTGAAGTCCTAACCCCCCTACAGGTTGAACATCCCAAATTCACAAATCTGAAATGCAAAATCCTCCAAAATCCAAAACTTTTTGAGCATCAACATGACTCATGAAGATCTCACCCAATTTCCCAGAAGCCCTCGCTCCCATCGGACTAGAATCTTCTTTTGAGAGGCCTTTCCTTTTCTCATCCCTATTGCAACCAGTACAAAAAGCAAAACAGAAAGACACTAAAGCAAAACCAAAGTTTTAGTCACAAAAACCAAATGGGTTGGCGAGGGAAGGTGGTGGTTACAGGGAAGGTTTTAAGCTCACCAGGCCCTGTAGCTGAGGTTTCAAAATGGCAGCTAGCTGGACGCCATCTGGTCTAAATCTGCTCACCCAAACCTCCCTCCAGTTCTCCAAGGGATGTCCCTAATTACTAGCACAGCCAGCTGCCAACATGGAATCTAGGTCTCCCTTCTTTCAAATATTAGAGATGTGAGACCAGAAAGATTACTTCCCAATACCAGAGAAAAGGCTACGAGGGAGGAACAAGGGAGAGAAGGAGACCTTCACTGCAGCATGCAAGGACATGGCGGACGCGTCCCATCCCATATCTCAGCTATTATGCATTCCCAACTGGCTTGGCCAACATCCAGAGAGACTCCAGGCTGGTGAGTCTGTGAATGTGAAGTAGAGATAAGCAAGGCGGCGAGGGGGAGCTCGCCCACTGTTATATACGGGCTGCAGCATTGCGTGGCGAGGAGTCAGGGGAATCTTCCATTTCCAAGACATTTCTGCACTCGATCCTGCTCCCCAAGACTAAGAATTCTTTCTTGGCTTCCTCCCACTCCCTGGAATGTAACTAAGCAGTTACCTTGAGAACAAGGAAAAATTGGGGGCTAGGGAGGTGTATGAGTGTTTTAATGTGTTAAAAATCACATTTACCCTGGATACTTGTTTGCAATAAAACAGAGAGTAGGAAACTCCATTCTTACCTTCATCTATGGGACAGGCACCCAGTGGCAATCATTGTGAGAAATAGGGAGAGGCTGATCTATGCTTAGGGAGCTCAGAAAATGCTATGCTTCCTTCCAGCTGTAGGGAAGCTGAGCCACTGGGGAAGAGTGGATGCATTTGGACAAACAGGAATGGATGGAAGGCTTTCTAGGAGAGGGGACCACATGAGCAAAGCCTGAAGAAGGGGTGGTTCTTATCTAGCAATGAGGAAGTGTGAGGAGAGGCAAAGAAATATCTTCTAGAAGCTGAGGGATCAGGCACTGGAAGCTTATCTACCTTCTCCAACTCCAGGGTACCACCAAGGAGAGCAAAATCCAGAAACAAGGGGCACCTGCAAAGTGGTGGAGGAAAGAGGAGGAAAGGAATGTCTGCCCCAAGCCCAGCCCCAGGGTCAGATGCCGGGAAAAATTCCTGGGATTATTTGGTGCTGTATGAGATGGATCTGGAGCCACCCTGGCTCCAAGAGGGATGTGGGTTTGGACTGGGGCTTCCAGGACTGGTCTGGGGCAAGCTAAGGACACTTTCACGTGTCCACACTTTTGTACTTGCTGTTCACCAGTATCTCCTTTCCCCCCTTCTCCTCCCTGTTCATGGAAATCCTTAAAAATCATCTCCTCTGGGAAGTTCTCCTGATGCTCTCATTCAGAATTAACCCACCATTCTTTATGTCGCTTCAACAAGTTGCTTGTATCTCTTTTTCCATTTACGTTTTCTTTTTCTTTTTTTTTTTTTGTTTGTTTGTTTGTTTGTTTTGAGACAGAGTCTCACTCTATCGCCCAGGCTGGAGTGTAATAGCGCCATCTTGGCTCACTGCAACCTCTGCCTCCCGGGTTCAGTTCAAGCCCTGCTCCTCCTCAGTCTCCCAAGTGGCTGGGATTACAGGCACCTGCCATCACCCCTGGCTAATTTTTGTATTTTTAGTAGAGATGGGGTTTCACCATGTTGGCCAGGCTGGTCTCGAACTCCCGAGCTCAGGTGATCCGCCTACTTCAGCCTCCCAAAGTGCTGGGATTACAGGCGTGAGCTACCACGACCAGCCTACGCTTTCCTATATGCCTTTTTTTTTATTTTTTGAGATGGAGTCTCACTCTGTTGCCCAGGTTGGAGTGCAGTGGCTCAATCTTGGCTCACTGAAACCTCCACCTCCCGGATTCAAGCGATTCTCTTGCCTCAACCTCCCAAGTAGCTGAGACTACAGGCGCATGCCACCATGCCCAACTAATTTTTGTATTTTTAGTAAAGATGGGGTTTCACCATGTCGGCCAGGCTGGTCTTGAAGTCCTGACCTTAGGTGATCCACCTGTCTCAGCCTCCCAAAGTTCTGGGATTACAGGCATGGGCCACCGTGCCCAGCCTATGCCTTGTCTTATAATTAGTCTCCCTCTCTTCTAAATGTAAACTCTCAGATGTCAAGAACTAGATCTTATACATCTTTCTGACCCCATCCCCCAGCACCAGCTCTTCCCCAGAGCAGACACTCAGTAAATACTTATTGAATTGAATATACAGACCCACAAGGAGCAACCTGGTACTGGCGGACATTTTTGATTCCTGCATCCATTCATTCATTTGCTCAACAACCATGTGAGTGCCTAATACCTGCCAACCTGGCTCACACTCTCTCACAGAGCACACTCAAATTGTTTCATCAACCAGCTAAAAGTAAGTTCAGTATCAATTCAGGGCTTCTTTTCAGTTCTAGAACATAGAAAATTTCACAGGATCACCTGAACACCGCAGGGCGGGTGCAGCCTACATCCCATTGCCTGTTTCTGTCCAGATGGAAAGTCACACCCTCAAGAAGGCCCCTGGGGAAGACAGATTGTCTGGGATGTGGATGAGGGCCCCCACAGGCTCTGCCCAGCCCAGCCCAGCCCAGCCCAGCCCAGCCCACCCAGGGGAACCCTAGATACACCTATCACAGGAGATGGCAGTTAAGATAACTCTATCTACATACACAGTACCCTGTGGATACTAAGTAAGGAGCTGGTCATTTGGAATGAGGCAGGAGAGCTCTAGGAAGTCCTCTCTGCAGAGTAGATGTGGCCATGGAGGTGGGAGGATTAACTGAAGGTCATAAGAAAAGTCTGCCCTTCTCAGAGATCAATAAGTGCAAATTACTTGAGAGTCCAGGAACTGCTCTGCCATGGAGGAAAAATACAGATGGGGGCAGGGGCGGGAAAGGAAGGGGGCAGGTTAGGGACAGTCATTGATCTCGGCGGGCTCTTCCAAGTCTAAAATTGTAGGATTCTAACCTGAACCTCCCCTGCCAACAACTTGAAAGAGTTGTCTTGAGATCAGGGACATGTGGAGAGAAAGTTGAATAGCATGTCAGATAATAAACCAAGAAGAAATTGTGAAGTCAAAACAAGGGATAAATTTTCCTTATCTCTCTAAGACATGCATCAAAGCAGCTGACTGCTGTCTGCCTGGCCTGGGAAGATGATAATGGTTTTTAATGGCCCGTAAACAATAGGACCAGCCTTTGTAATAAAGTTTAACCAATTAATCCTCTAGGCTTCCTCCCTGCACTCTGCCTACTCTCCGCTCCTCCTTTCTGTGATGGGGCAACCTTCAGGGGTCTGAAAAGCAAGGGATCCAGCCCCTAGACGCAAACCTATAGGTGACAATAAGAGTTGCCCAGAGGAAGTGCTAAAGAAAATTGCCTCTATCCTGATCTGGCTAAAAGGAGGAAGAAGCCCTCTTTTCAGCGAAAAGGAGAGGAGAGATGATGCATCAAGGAATTTGCACAAGAGGTAAACTTCATTCTTATTCAGGAGCTCATTCATTCATTCAGCAAACATTCATGAACACCTACTATGTGCAAGGCATCTGCAGAGGGTGCAAAAATATACAAAGAAAATACCTGCCCAAGATGGAATTAAAGCCTGGAGGGGGTGGTACTGGGAACAAGACACATTCACAGATGGCCGGGCGCGGTGGCTCACGCCTGTAGTTCCAGCACTTTGGGAGGCAGACGTGGGTGGATCACGAAGTCATGAGATCAAGACCATCCTGGCAAAGATGGTGAAACCCCGTCTCTATTAAAAATACAAAAAATTAGCTGGGCATGGTGGCGCGTGCCTGTAGTCCCAGCTACTCGGGAGGCTGAGGCAGGAGAATCGCTTGAAACTGGAAGGTGGAGGTTGCAGTGAGCCAAGATTGTGCCACTGCACTCCAGCCTGGGCAACAAGAGCGAAACTCCATCTCAAAAAAAAAAAAAAAAGACACATTCACAGATATCAATCGTAAAAGTTAGTACAATAGCCTCTGCAAACCACTGTATAAGTCCAGCTTCTTTTTCCATTTCTTCTTTCATGTGCCATGTTCCGCTTGGGGTGGTTACGACAGACAATATTCAGAAAATGGAAGAATCAGAAAGAGAAGAAAGTGGAACACACAAGAGAAAGAAAACCAAGGCCCTCCTCCCTCCTGCCATGGCCCTCTCTGTCTTCAGCCCTAGTTCTGGAAAAGAAAAGGGTGTGTTGTCACTAGAGGCCTCCAGGCAGGTCCATGCCACTGAGTCACATTTCAAGCTGTGTTTGCTTCCTACACCAACAAGGCATATCTTTTCTGAATTGTGCAATATTCTGGCCACCTGGGTTTTTCTACTTGGTATACCAACTCCTAGTACTCAACAACCATTCCCTTTACTCTTTTTTTTTTTTTTTTTTTTTTTTTTTTGAGACAGAGTCTCACTCTGCACAATCTCGGCTCACTGCAACCTCCGCCTCCCAAGTTCAAGCGATTCTCCCTGTCTCAGCCTCCCAAGTAGCTGGGACTACAGGTGCCCACCGCCATGCCCAGCTAATTTCTTTTTTACTTTTAGTAGAGACAGGGCTTCTCCATGTTGGCCAGGCTGGTCTCAAACTCCTGACCTCAGGTGATCTGCCTGCCTCAGCCTCCCAAAGTGCTGGGATTACAGGTGTGAGCCACTGCGCCTGGCCCCCCTTTACTCTTAAATACAGTGTGTGCCAGCTGTAGTAGTTTATGCCTGTACTCCGAGCATCTCAGGAGGCTGAGGCAGGAGGATCACTTGAGCCCAAGAGCTTTAGGCTGTAGTAAGCCAAGGTCACACCACTGCATTCTAGCCTGGGCAACAGAGCAAGACCCTGACTCTTAAAAAAAAATACAATGTGTAATGGTGATATAATAATTCAAAGGTTAATCATCTCTACTTTTGAAAACAATAATGAATACCTTGCTTTGCATTTGTTTAGCCTCACATTTTTTTCAGAGTTCTTCAAAAAATATTATCTCATGTTCATGCTACAAGCAACCTTGGATGGTAACAAAGGTTAAACATCATTATTTCCACTTTAAATTTTCCCTCCTTTCTCCATTTGTTTTCTACTCAACAAACAGTGGTTGAGTACCTGCTATGTGCTAAGCACCATGCTGGGTACAGGGTCATGCAACATAGCAGAAAAACAGCAGATCCTGCCTTCAACAGGTTCATAGAGCTATGGGGAGGAGAAGTGAGGACGTGGTCCCTGTCTCCAGGGTCTGGGGCATCTTCTAGAGGAGAAGATTGAGACAAGCATTAAAAGATTATCATGGGCCAGGTGTGGTGCTCACACCTATAATCTCAACACTTTGGGAGGCCAAGGCAAGAGGATCGCTTGAGCCTGGGAGGTGGAGGCTGCAGTGAGCCATGATGGTGCCACTGCACTGCAGCCTGGGCAACAAAGTGAGACCATGTCTTAAAAAAAAAAAAAAACTTAATATGATTTTACCAGGTAGAAAAGAGAGGAAAGGGGATTCCAGAGAGTGGGCCAGCAATCTATGCACAGAGAAGAGTGAGCCATCTGGGGCATCCAGACCATGGGGTGAGGAGCAATGAAGGGCAAAGGCTGAGAAAGACTGAAGAGGGAGGCTGGGCCCAAACAACGGAGCCAAGAGTGCCTTGCCAAGGAGTTTGGACTTTATCCTGGGGGCAATGAGGAAATCACTGAAGGTTTTAAGCAGAGGTGGGTGACGTGATCAGATTTGTGTTTCAGCAAGATTACCCTGGCCACGGGATGGAGAAAGCACTGGACTGGGAAGAGACTGGGCAGACTCTAGAAACATTCCCAAAATAGAATTCGCAGGACTGGGTGTCCCACTGGAGATAGGAGGAAAAGGAGATAATAGAAACAGCCTTCTCACTTGGGCTTGAGGGGCCCTCGTCCAATATAGGAGACCAGTAAGAAAGCCTTGCCCAAGGTCACCTCAAGTTACTTGATGGCTAACTCGAATCAAGAAGCTCAAGTTCCTTCTGGTAGAAACCTCTTAGTCTGCCTCATTCACATTGATCAGCAAATAAATTTAACCATCATCTGCCAGGCTTTCCTTGTTTTCCACTTTATACATGTGCACTTTTTGTCCTATGGAGATTATTAAGATCATTAGGGCAAAATTCCTTTTGACCTCCCATAAGGCCTCTCACAGTACAAGACAATATGTGGTCAATAAATATTTGTTATTAAATCAAACTCCAGGAGCCCCAAGAACCCATCACCAGGCATTGCCTTACTTACAACATGAGATATTTGCCTTCTTTAATCCCTAATAAACAGTTTTTTGTTTTTGAGACAGAGTCTTGCTCTGTTGCCCAGGCTGGAGTGCAGTGGCACGGTCTCGGCTCACTGCAACCTCTGCCTCCCAGGTTCAAGTGATTCTCCTGCCTCAGCCTCCCAAGTAGCTGGGATTACAGGTGCCCACCACCACGCCCAGCTAATTTTTTGTATTTTTAGTAGAGACAGGGTTTCACCATGTTGGCCAAGCTGGTCTCAAACTCCTGACCTTGTGATCTGCCTGCCTCAGCCTCCCAAAGTGCTGGGATTACAGACGTGAGCCACTGCATCTGGCCAACAGTATTTTTTATTTAATTCCTAGATAAAGTAATTCCTAGATGCTTGAATTTCACAATCCAAGATAATTTTTTTTTGAGACAGAGTCTCGCTCTGTCACCCAGGCTGGAGTGCAGTGGCGTGATCTCTGCTCATTGCAACCTCACCTCCCAGGTTCAAGTGATTCTCCTGCCTCAGCCTCCCAAGTAGCTGGGATTACAGGCGCCTGCTACCACACCCAGCTAACTTTTTTGTATTTTTTAGTAGAGATGGGGTTTCACCATGTTGACCAGGCTGGTTTCAAACTCCTGATCTCAAGTGATCCGCCCACCTCGGCTTCCCAAAGTGTTAGGATTACAGGCGTGAGCCACCATGCCCAGCCACAGTCCAAGATATTTCTAACAACAACAACAAAATTGGAGCGTTCAATGTGGTCTTGCCAACTTTTGTTTTAACACCATTGTTTCTTAAAAGAAAGAACATTGAATACATATCCCCAAAGTCAGGATAATATAATTTTAAGATGAATTTTCCAAATTAAATCAGAGTTCCTCAACCTCAGACCAATTAACACTGGACTGAAGAATTCTTTGCTATGGCAGTGGAGGGGAAGGAGAAGGGGGAGCTGTGGGCAAAATTGCACCAGTTCAGAACCACTGAATTTTTTAAAGTACGCTTTCTTAAAAATCCAGTTACACTGTCCTTATATTTTGGATCAGTGAAAACTATCACAGACTGCCACCAGTCCATAAACAGCTTTTGGGAACAAGAGACTCAGAGGTGAAGAATGTGGAATTTGAAATCAGACTTGAACTCAAATCCCAGTTCCACCTCTCCTCATTCCCTGACCTTGAGCAAGGCACTGTTCCAAGCCTCCCTTTCCTCCCCTGCACAGCGAGGACAATACCACCCCATCCCAGTTGTGGGGAGGATTCAATGGAATAGATGTGACGCACTTAGCATGTGACCATCGGGAACGGAAGTATGACATTATTAACATTATTTCTACCACTTCTATAACATATGTGGTATCTAATACAAATTAATGACTGCTACCCAAATTTCAGACTTTCTGGGTCAAAAGGACCTTACACATAATATAGTGGACTTTCAATAAACACTTACCAAATGGACAAATGAACCCCTTGTCACCCCGATCTCACTAGTTCCTTCCCTGAAACCCGACACATCTGAGTCCTTTTCTCCTTTACTAACCCTTTCTCCAATCCTGCTCATGGGAATTAAAGCTGTAAAATAAGCCTGGCGCACCTCGGGCCTCTGCCCTGGGCTCTGTGGGTGGGAGCACTGTGGAAGCCGTATCAATCGCCCCCACCTATGAGAGCCTTTCTTCAGGGCCAGCCATGAACGTCCCCCATGTCATCAGCATCTTCAGGCTACTGCTGTCCTTCTTGGATATTTAACCTGGAGGCGGGCCAGGGACAGAAAAAGGAGGTGGCAAGATCCTTGAACAAAAGGAGCTATAAAAGGGCGTTGGGGGAAGCAAGGCAAACGGCAGATTAAACAAGCAGGCACCTCAAGGAAACGTGACGCGGGAGGGGATTCCGAGCCTCTCTGTCTGCTTACTTGACAGCAAGCAGGTCAGAGTTCCTGCCATTTCCTTCTAGTAGAAACCCCACCAAGACCACCTCCCCGCCTTGGCAGGCAAAGCACTGGTAGCTCTCCCAAGGGAAAAAAAAAACAAAAAACACACACTCCTTGTTACAAACCAGACACAGTCCTGGACAGAGCCCAGCTAACAATAAATTTCTGGGGTTCATCTCACAAGTACATTAAGTATCTTCTGACAATCTCCCAAAGGGCTGGGTTTTTCTGGCCATCACAGGGCTGTAGAATATTGAGTACAAGGAGAGGGCTTCAAGAACAGGGGATCCAAGCCCTCGTTTCATTGATGGGGAAACTGAGGCTCAGAGAGGGGGAAGGAACTTGTTCAGGATCATCCAAGTATGCTCCCGTCAGTAGCAGCACTGAGCCAAGAACTCAAGGCTTCAGTTTTGGCACTGGGTTTTGCCAGAGGCTTGAAAACATACCAAGAAGTGGAAGGTGTACTATGAGCTAAATCTCACTTTTCCTGAAAATATAGATGTGTGCTCACACAGGCACACATGTGCATAAAAGGTAGGGAAAGAGGAAAACAAATGTAGCAAAATGCTAGTAAATGGTGAATCTAAGCAAAGGGGATATTGGTGTTCATTGCTCTATTTTCACAACTTTTCAGAAGGCTTGCCATTTTTCCAAGAAAAATCTGAGGAAGGGCTAGGTGTGGTGGCTCATGCCTGTAATCCCAGCACTTTGGGAAGCCAAGGTGGGAGGATCGCTTGAGGTCAAGAATTTGAGACCAGCCTGGGCAACATAACAAGACCCCATCTCAACAAAAAAATTAAAAATTGCCAGGCATGGTGGCTCACACCTGTAGTCCCAGCTACTCAGTAGGCTGAAGCAGGAGGATCGCTTGAGCCCAGGAGTTCGAGGCTGCAATGAGCTATGATTGCACTACTGCACTCTAGCCTGGGCAACAGAGTAAGACCATGTTTCTTTAAAAAAAATTAAAATTAAAAAATAAAAAATTTTGAGGGAGAAAGATAAAGCACTAACTAGCAATCTAAGATAAAAAATTTTTTTAAAAAAATCACTTGGAAAAGAGTAGGAATTCCTCCTTCAATTTCATTCAGTTTCCCTAGCTAGGGACTAATATCCTTAGAAAAAGTTATAAGAAATCCAGAGGTTAAAGGGGTGGGACTCCAAACAAGTAAGAGATCGCCAGTATTCATAGCAGTCCGCAGCTACAGCAATCTTAGAATCCAAATACGATTTCAGATATTTTGTCCCATCAGCTCCTAAAATACATATATTCTGGTCACACCATGTATCCTCTGTTGTTTTTGGTGCAAAAAGTAAAGTAACCATGAACTACAGATAGGGCAAATGTCAGAATTTTTCCAGGGGACTTTATCACCTTTGCAATACAGGTAGTTTATAAATGCAATACAATATAGTTTAATTTCTATTCAATTTGCAAATTCTTTCACATGAGTAAATCATTTAATCAAAATCCACATCCAACCCACACTCACCATGTTCTCTATCCATATTAGTATTTGGTTTGGGCCATACTGGGTCCATAATCCAGCCCTGAAAATCTATCCTGGGCCACATATATAACTCATACCAATAGCAGGGCACTCAAGGCATGAAGATTTGAGGGAACACAACCTATCCAAGAAACCTCAAGGAATTCCTTATGGCTGAAGTAAGGTCTGAGGAAACCATGAGCAGGGGAATATGACTTGGAGAGAAGGTAGAGGTTAAATCCAGGAGGGCTCATACACCCAACAAAGGAGTTGGAAGTTTATCCTTCAGAAAACAAGGAGTCACTGAAGGGTTTTAAGTAGGCAGTGATATAATTGGATCATTCTGGCAGAGTACAGATGGATGAAAGTAACTCAAAGCTAGGAAGACTATCGGAATGACAAAGACCTGAACTAAGGCAGTCTGAGCGGGAGTGAACTGATAACACATTAGGAAGAGCTATTGACCACAGCAAATGGACAAAACTGGGTGGGAAGAGGGCAGATGTGTCTGAGAGAGACAGAAAGGATCCCAGATGACGTCTAGCTTGGCCAACTAGGTAGACGATGACAACACTCACCCTGACGGGGAATCCGGGAGGAGGCGAAGGCTTGGCAGAGGAACGTGGTGAGTTTTGAACGTGTTGAGGTCCTGGTTGGATATACAAATATGGAGCTCCAGAAAGAAGCCCAGGATGAATATGTGCATTGGGAGTAACCAACATTAATGTACGGGGATGGATGCCAAGGGTGCAGAGGAGGTCAGCCAGAGAATTGGGGGCAAAACAAGAACTGAGTCAAGGACAGAAACTCTGGGGGAAAAAAAAAATTTAAGGGCAGTCAGGGAAGAAGAGACCCCAAAAAACGTTGAGGAGTAGCCAAAGAGGTAAAGACCTAGGCCTGCTTTTAAGTGACCCACTAAACTCCTCCATCTCCACAGGCTGGTCACACCATGCTGGGGCTGGGGAAGGAATAATCATGTGTTAAAATAAACTCATTTCTCAATGAAAAGACAAACAGCCCAATTTAAAAATGGGCAAATAACAAATAGACATTTCTCCACAGAAAACATACAAATGGCCAATAGACACATGAAAACATAGGAAGTATCATTCGGTCATTAGGGAAATGCAAATCAAAACCACAATGAGGCCGGGCATGGAAGCTCACGCCTGTAATCCCAGCACTTTGGGAGGTCGAGGCAGGTGGATCACTTGAGGCCAGGAGTTCGAAACCAGCCTGGCTAACATGGTGAAACTCCTTCTCTACTAAAAATACAAAAATTAGCCAGGTGTGCTGGTGCACGCCTGTAATCCCAGCTGCTCAAGAGGCTGAGGCACGAGAATTGAACCTGGGAGGAGAAGGTTGCCGTGAGCCGAGACTGCGCCATTGCACTCCAGCCCGAGTGACAGAGTGAGACTCTGTCTCAAAACAAACAAACAAATAAACAAAAAACCCACAATGAGGCCAGGCATGGAGTCTGACGCCTGTAACGCCAACACTTTGGGAGGCCAAGGCGGGTGGATTACTTGAGGTCAGGAGTTTGAGACCAGCCTGGCCAATATGGTGAAATCCCATCTCTACTAAAAATACAAAAATTAGCTGGGCATGGTGGCAGGCATCTGTAATCCCAGCTATTCGGGAGGCTGAGGCAAGAGAATCACTTGAACCGGGGAGGCAGAGGTTGCAGTGAGCCGAGATCGTGCCACTGTACTCCAGCCTGGGTAACAGAGTGAGACTGTCTCAAAAAAAAAAAAAAAAAAAAAATCAGATACCACTTCACACCTGGTGGGATGGCTAGAGTCACAAAGAGGTAGAGGAACTGGACCCCCCATACATCACTGATTGGAACACAAAATGCCACAGTCACTGTGGAAAACAGCTTGGCAGTTCCTCAAAACTTCAAACACAGAGTTATTATATGACCCAGAAACTCCTCCCCTAGGTATATACCCAAAAGAATTGAAAGCATATGTCCACGCCAAGACTTGTACATGAAAGTTTGTGTTAGCATTCTTCATAACAGCCAAAAAGCAGAGATAAAGCAAATGTCCATCAACAGATGAATAGGTAAATCAAATGTGGCGTATTCATACAAGGGACTATTATTCAGCCATAAAAAGGAAGGGAGTACTGAAACATGCAACAACATGGCTGAACGCTGAAAACATTATGCTGAGTGACAGAAGCCAGATACAAAGGCCACATGTGTTATATGATTTCATCTCTATGGAATATCTAGAATAGGGAAATCCAAGGAGACAAAAAGCAGATTAGTGGTTACCAGGGGTAGAGGGGACAGGGGAGTGGGGAGTGTCTGCTTCCTGAGTGCAGAATTTCTTTTTTCTTTTTCTGTCACCCAGGCTGGAGTGCAGTGGTATAGTCTAGGCTCACTGCAACCACCGCCTCCCGGGTTCAAGCAATTCTCCTGCCTCAGCGTCCTGAGTAGCTGGGATTACAGGTGCACGCCACCATGCCCCGCTAATGTTTGTATTTTTAGTAGAGACGGGATTTCACCGTGTTGGCCAGGCTGGTCTCAAACCCCTGACCTCGTGATCCTCCCTCCTCGGCCTCCCAAAGTGCTGGAATTACAGGCATGAGGCCACCATGCCAGGCCAGGATTTCTTTGTAGGGTGATGAAAATGTTCCGGCATCAGATGTGGATGATGGCGGATGTACTAACCACCACTGAATTACGCACTTTCAAATGGTTAGAATGGTGAATTTTATGTTGTGTGAATTTTCTCTCAACAGAAAAATTCAATCATCCTTTACAAAGTGACCCACAGCCACAAGGAGCTGGGGAAGCAGTTTCTCCAGCTTGCAGCAGGAGCTCCAGATATTCTGAGTAAAGAAGCCAAACAGCCTGCTTCCCGGGAGACCCTTAAATGTCTTCACACATCCACAGCTGGGGGAGGAGACGCTGATGAACAGGAGAAGATGGAGCATCGGCCTCCCCTGGCTACTCACTCTGTGCTCGGGCCGCCTCGCCCACTTGTAAAACCCCAAATGCCAGGGTGGCAGCAAGGCATACATGCAACTATGACTTGACCCGCAGCGAGGCAGCAACCAGGTCTCACCTGGGCATAGTTACCCCACAAGGACAGGAAAGGAGAAATGGTTTCCAGGCCCAGGACACCCAGAAGCCACCAAAAACCAACCTCATGGTTCATCCCCCTTATTTGACTCTTCGACACCTAAAACCTGTGCGTTGTGTTCAAGATACACCCGCCGGAGACCACATTCCCAGACATCCCGAGGGCCAGCCGTCACCACACGGGTGCCTCGGGGAGATGCTGGAGACACAAGTGGCTTTGAAATTAGCACAACTTACATGGCCTCCAGGTCTGCTGTGGAAATCCAGGTCCAAAGAAGAAGCCAGTGAGGAACAGGAGGCTGATCATTGTGTTCTCAGAAGGGGTTGGAGCCTCTGGGGAGGGGGCACTGAGGACAGAGCACGGTGTTCTGCAGATCATATCACATCTCTACTTCCCTCTCCAGTGATATGCTTCCCTCACTCTCCCATTTTGCTCCCTCTCTCCTGCCAAACTCCCAGGGCAACCCTGGATAATAAAGTGACCGAATGTGAATGCTTCCAGGTGGCACACCAGCACTCCAGAGAAACTGTCAGAGCAGGGGGCAAACCCCTGGCCTACTCCAGCCACTGGATAAGCGCACCCTCCTCCATGCCTCCCTGCTCCTGCCTGCCCTGAAGGGAGAAGGAGCGCAATGAAACTAGGTCTTCCCTTGGGGTTCTGACCACCTCGTGGGGAGATTATGATTGCCCTGTGGTTGCCATGCCTACTGTGATGTCACTCCTTTTATCAGTCTATCTGGATGAATTTTTCCCCCTTTTCTCTGAAGGAAACCTCCTACCCAGTGCTTAGGAGCCCATTGGGAGCTCCCGCCCTTGTCTTATCTCGATCTGGGACCTCAGAAGACTCCACATTCCTAACAGGACTAGCTCTCAGGATGAAGAAAATCTCTCTCAAGCTGGTCAATCTACTCCTAGATTTAAGCAGAACCAAACAGAACCTATTTCAACATCCCCTCTCAGAATGCAAACAGGAGACGGCTGTGTGGAAAGATCCAATCACCTTTACTTAATTGGTCAGAATAAAATCACTTTTTTCTTTTTAAGGCAGAGTTTCCTTCTGTGGCCCACACTGGAGTGCACTGGCGCAATCTCAGCTCACTGCAACCTCCACCTCCCAGGTTCAAGCAATTCTCCTGCCTCAGCCTCCTGAGTAGCTGGAATTACAGGCGCGCACCACCACACCTGGCTAATTTTTGTGTTTTTTAGTAGAGACAGGGTTTCACCATGTTGGCCAGACTGGTCTCAAATTCCTGACCTCAAGTGATCCACCCGTCTCGGCCACCCAAAGTGCTGGGATTACAGGCATGAACCACCACACCTGGCCAGAATCACTTTTTCAGTAAAATAAGTGCAAAGAAGAATGAGGGTGGGGGAAAGGTTTACTGATCCCACACTTTGTCATGCACAGAGGAAGGCAAAGAAAGAAAGAAAACTCTTTCCTAAATGATCACTTGTCTCCAGCAGGTGTATCTTGACCATTCCAGCCATGGATCTATAGGGAGTTTCATGCCAATGAAAAGCATTTTTTTGGGGTCCTACTATGCATCAGGCACTGTGGCAGGTACTGGAGACTTAGTCCCAGCCCTTAAAGAACTAATAATAGGATCATGGCCAGGCGTGGTGGCTCACGCCTGTAATCCCAGCACTTTGGGAAGCCGAGGCGGGTGGATCATCAGAGGTCAGGAGTTCGAGACCAGCCTGGCCAACATGGTGAAACCCCATCTCTACTAAAAATACAAAAATTAGCTGGGCGCAGTGGCAGTCACCTGTAATCCCAGCTACTTGGGAGGCTGAGGCAGAAGAATCGCTTGAACCTGGGAGGCAGAGGTTGCAGTGAGCCAAGATTGTGCCATTGCACTCCAGCCTGGGAGACAGAGCAAGACTCCATCTCGAAAAAATAAAAAAAGAAAAGAAAGAAAAAAAAGATCACTGTTCACAATCACAACATTTACACAGCCTCCTTCAAAAGAATTTCTTCTCTAGAAAGATAAGCTGAGAGACCAGACAGTTCGTCTGCGGCCTTCATGAAGTGAAAGGAGGCAGAGAAGAAAGGAGTTGGCCATGGACAGGTTTTGCCCCAGATCCTTGAGTGAAGACCCCAGCCTGCTGCAAGCTTTTTCCTCATTCTGTCCTCCCCTCCTGGAATCTGTGGCAGCTTCCACAGGCGGTGAAAGAAGGCAGCAAGCAGTGGCTCCAGTGCCAGCTGCAGCAACCACACCAGGGGAATGGGGCCATCTGACACAGAGAGGGTGTGAGGGCCAGGGAGACTGTCCCTGTAGCCAGCTAACCCCTCCAGTCAAGTCGACTTTCACAAAATGGGCCTGCTCCTGGAAGTCATTGATGCCATTGTTAAAACACAGCACCAGGCCGGGCACGGTGGCTCACGCCTGTAATTCCAGCACTCTGGGAGGCCGAGACGGGCAGATCACTTGAGGTCAGGAGTTCGAGACCAGCCTGGCCAACATGGTGAAACTTTGTCTCTACTAAAAATACAAAAATTAGCTGGGCGTGGTGGTGCACACCTGTAATCTCAGCTGTTCAGAAGGCTGAGGCAGGAGAATCACTTAAACCCAGGAGGCGGAGGTTGCCATGAGTCGAGATCGAGCCACTGCACTCCTGCCTGGGCAACAGAGTGAGACCCTGTCTCCAAAAAACAGCACCCTGGAGAAGACAGCAGTCCATTCACACTGGAAACATCCAGACTTATTACATAAAAATGGCAATTAGTGGCCAGGCACAGTAACTCACGCCTGTAATCCCAGCACTTTGGGAGGCCGAGGTGGCGGTGTAATCCCAGCTACTCGGGAGGCTGAGGCAGGAGAATCGCTTGAACCCAGGAGGTGAAGGTTGCAGTGAGCTGAAATCACACCACTGCACTTCATCCTGGATGACAGAACGAGACTCCGTCTCAAAAAAAAAAAAGGCAATTACTGTTGGCATCAGCAGCACAGTTGTTTTCAGCCAAAACTTAAGACACAGAACTAGCCTTATCTTTCCAGTATATGGTATGTCTCTTGCTATTTTTTGCAAATTATCTATCATATATATTATCATATATATTCTTTTTTTTTTTTTTTTTTTTTTTTTTTTTTTGGAGACAGAATCTCGCTGTTGCCCAGGCTGGAGTTCAGTGGCATGATCTCGGCTCACTGCAAACTCTGCCTCCCGGGCTCAAGCAATTTTTGCACCTCAGTCCCCTGAGTAGCTGGGATTACAGGAGCACGCCACCACACCCAGCTAATTTTTGTATTTTTAGTAGAGACGGGGCTTCGCCATGTTGGCCAGGCTGGTCTCAAACTCTTGGCCTCAAGTGATCCATCTGCCTCAGCCTCCCAAAGAGCTGGGATTACAGGTGTGAGCCACCGCATCTGGCCATATATATTCTTTTAATGGCAAGCGGGAACAAAATCGTATTCCCATTTTCTGAATGAGAAAACCAAGCCTAAAAGAGGGACTCCCAAGTAATATCAACTTGCAAACCTATGAATTTTTATCTTAAATACTGGCTTTGAGGGACCTTTGGCAACAGCAAAGGCATTCGGCAATTTGTGTGGAAGTCACATTACCAGCCCACCGAATAAGCCACAACTATGAGTTCTTCCGTGATTAGCGGGGCTGGGGATGTGGCAGGCAGGCGTGGAAGTGAGATCCACGTGAAAGACCTAAGCACTGACTCCCCGAGGGACTGGCGAAATGACGCAGGGGCCAGATAGATGTCAGATTTGGCCAAAGTGTCCTCCTTTCTCACAAGCCCGTCTGCCTTTCACCTGTCCTGAGGTAGGACAACCGGATGCCCTACTTTGCTGTGCAGCCCCACTCTCTTGGGGACAGTAGCCCAAACAGGCTGCTCTTGCTACACACAGATAAGAAGCTTTGCCACCCAAAACCAAGAAAGGGGCCGGTGAGGACACACAGGGAATGCTCACTCAGTGGTGGCTGAGTTTGTGGAAGTAGCAAAACCTGCACTGTAGGACCCACACCTGTGAGAGAGGGCCCCACGGGAATCTCAGCTTGGATCAAAGCAGGCGGGTGCTCACTCCACTGAGGGCAGCAGAGCCCAGCTCCAGGTGCGATCAGGAAGTGACCTGAGAAGCTGGAGTTCTGGACTCACAGACCCAGGCTTGAATTTCAGCACCACTCAGTCACTGTGTGGTCTTGAGTGACTTGCCCTTGTTTTTCCTCATCCATAAAATAGGGATAAAAATACCTGACCTTGAAAAATTATACGAATGCCAGCACACAGTACATACGCACAGCAGAGACAGGAGCTAGAATTATTGATTTGCCAAATGCAGCAGTGTCTGGACTCAGCCGCCCACTTCTGACCAATGGCCTTCACTTGTAACACAGCTGATCTGGAGGGTAAAGCCTGCAGCCGTGGAACCAAGCTCTCGCCAAGGTAACTGACCCATGTGGGGCTCAGAGCCTTGTTCTTACTAGAACCACTCTAGTTTGTTTGATTTTTTTTATTTATTTATACACATAATTCTGTGCATTCCTTTATGCATATGTATACATATATATGCATATGTATAATTTATTCAAATAGCATCATATCACTGATACTATTCTCCTACGCCCTACCCTCCCACATGGCTACTCACAGCCCCTGCCTTTCCAGGCGGCCCGTGTTAACATCTTAGTTTGTATCCTTCCACAATTCTCCCCATATTCATGTAATTTTACACACACACACACTGAATAGTGAAGTTTTGGACAGTGTGGGGGCGTTATTGTTTAACAAAAATGGAATTATACATCATACACAGTCTCTCCCTCTTTTTTTATTCTACCATAATTTGCCAAAATCCTTTTAATGGTTCTGTTATAATTCATGATATAAAGGTGTCAAAGCTATTCAGCCATTCCTCTACTGATGGGAATTCACTCAGTTTCAACTTTTGGCCACTACCAACAAAAAAGCAATAAATTCCTTGACAGTATGTCCTAACCAAAGACCATTTTCCAACCAGACAAAAGGCCAGGTCCCAGGATGTGAGGGTCACCCATGAAAAGGACCTCATGATGAACTCCTGATTCAGCCACATCATCCTTAAAATTCTCCTTAGAAGAGAGACCCTCTGCTCCTAGAAATACAAATTCCCAGGCATGGGTCTGGCTTCCAAACTCTAGCTCCTCCAGTTCTTACTGCATCAAGTCAATTCTGCAGGTCTTCATTTTCCCATCTGTAAAATAAAATCATAACTGCCTTAGGCGGCAGGATTTGAGAGTGCTTTAGCAAGGGATTTTTATGAGGGAGCAGTGTGTGAAATAATATTTTTGCTGTAATTCTGTGAGATGTTGTTTCTAGCTTGTTTGGGGGTCAGGGAAGGGAGGGCAAAACAGAACTAACAGATTCAATTAAGTTCCCTCTGAGACTCAAGGTCCCTATTTATAAGGTACCTGGGGCTGGATGGGAAGGCACTTCTATCTTCTGCATTTCTGAAACACCTGGTACTGTGGTTGTTTACAAGGAAAACTTAGGAACTGGACAGGGGAGCTTTGGAGTGTCTACTTGCCCAGTTTTGTCAGATTCCAAAGAGGGGCAACTATAATTGAAATTATAAGAAGAATGGTCCAATCAGCAAATTTTGGAAAATCTGTAATCTCACTGGTGTTTGATTTTCACTCAAAAATTCCCTAAGCTCTACATTTCATTCAGTAAAAAGTTGGGGTTAGGGGAGAGATGGAGAACTTCTTTTGCAGGGGTATAGTGATTTATTTGGTCTATTCTTGAAAAAAAATGAGAAATTTTGGGAAAACAATCTTAAAATTTCCATTTCGAGTAGCAGTTCTAAAAGACTTTCAAGAGCCTCTCTGAAAAGAAGCAGTTACAGCAACTTGAATGAATTTACCTGGTTATCATATGGCTCACATGCATGAGAGTGGGGGAGAAGACACGGTAAAATCAACAGAGTTCGTGTCATGATATTCTGCTTTAAAACCCAAATCAAGGCCAGGCACAGTGGCTTATGCCTATAATCCCAGCACTTTGGGAGGCCAAGATAGGATGACTGCTTGAGGCTGGGAGTTTGAGACCAGCCTGGAAAATATCATGAGACTCCTCTCTCTACAAAAGAAATTTTTTTGTAATTAGCTGGGTGTGGTGGTACACCTGTAATCCTAGCTATTCAGGAGGCTGAGGTAGGAGGATCGCTTGAGCCCAGGAGGTCAAGCCTGCAAGGAGCTATGATTATACCACTGCACTCCAGCCTGGATGACAGAGTGAGACCCTGTCTCTAAGAAAAAAAAAAAAAAAACCTCAAAACCTGACTATAGAAGAATTTTCTTCATCAAAATCGAATCAAGCAGATAATTGGCACCCCTTTGGAAAAGGATTCAGCAGCCTCTACTGAACATACGCCTGCCCCATGACCCAGTAACTCCCCTGCAAGGTGTATATACTTAAGGTCTCCAAAAGACAAGTACCAGCATGTTCCCAGCACCACTACTCATGGAAGACCCAGACCAAAAACTACCACATGCTCATCAAAAGTAAAATGGGAAAATAAATCATGGTGAATTTACATAACAGAGCACTATATAGCGATGAGAATGAATGATCTACAACCACAGCCAACGCTGGGTGAATCTCACAAACGCAATGTTAAAGGGGAAATCCAGCTAGTAAAGTGAACGTGCTAGAAGATTCCGTTCGATGGGGTTAGACTCAGAATAGTCACCCTTGGTGGGATGGGGTAGGGAGCGTTGGGGTGCCTGGAAGGGGCACGGCTAGGCTTCTGTGATGTTTCTTCATCTGGGGGTTTGTGACACAAGCATGCTCAACTTGTGAATTTTGGGTGGTGAACATATGTGCACTTTTTGGTATGTATGTTATACTTCAGTTTTTAAAACTTAAGAAATTAGCCAATGAACAAAAATAAACATGATTGTGAGCTGGGCATGGTGGCTCACACTGGTAATCCCAGCACTTTGGGAGGCCGAGGCAGGCGGATCACGAGGTCAGGAGTTTAAGACCAGCCTGGCCAACATGGCGAAACCCTGTCTCTACTAAAAATATAAAAAATTAGCCAGGCGTGGTGGCAGACGCTTGTTATCCCAGCTACTCAGGAGGCTGAGGCAAGAGAATCACTTGAACCCAGGAGGCAGAGGTTGCAGTGAGCCGAGATCATACCACTGCACTCCAACCCGGGTGACAGTGTGAGACTCCATCTCAAAAAAATAAATAAATAAATAAACATGATTAAGGATAAAGCAATCCAGCGGACAAGGCTCTTGGAGCCATATTTTATTTGTCATGTATCATTCCGGGGAGCTCTCCTCTGTCAATGCCAAGACTAGCTAGTCGAGTGTGGAGAAAAGGCATTCTGTGAGAACAGATGAAAGGGAACAGAGAAACTGGCACTTTCTTTGGAAAAGAGTTGTTTCCAAAACCTAGATGTGCAGCCTCTACCCCAGGTAATTAGTCCAACACACTATCCATTACAGCTGAGTCCGGGTTTGCTTCAAAAGCATCGGGGGTTTTTTGGGTTTTGCTTCCCTTAAAAAAAAACTTGTTTTGAATGAGGGGAAAAAGGCGTAGTTAATTTTTATACAGAAATCTGTTAAAGAGATCTGATCAATGGTGACAAAATGGAAGCCAGAGATGGAAAAGATTCACTGTGAGGCTCTGGCACTGAAGGCCAACTTGGGCTTCCATTCAGTTCAATAATAATATTTATCATAGCTGCTAACAATTTTTTTCTCTTTTTTGAGATGGAGTTTCACTCTGGTTGCCCAGGCTGGAGTGCAATGGCGTGACCTCGGCTCACTGCAACCTCCACCTCCCGAGTTCAAGTGATTCTCCGGCCTCAGCCTCCTGAGTAGCTGGGATTACAGGCATGTGCCACCATGCCCAGCTAATTTTTTATTTTTAGTAGAGATGGGGTTTCTCCATGTTGGTCAGGCTGGTCTCAAACTCCCAACCTCAGGTGATCCACCCGCCTCAGCCTCCCAAAGTGCTGGGATTACAGGCGTGAGCCACCACACCCAGCCAATAGCTGCTAAGACTTACGCAGGTTTACATATGCTAGGCATTGCTCTCTGAGCTTATATATATTAACTCATTCCATCTCTATCTATGAGGTTGGGATTGATATAATCCCCACTTTACACCCAGAGAGGGTAATAACTTGCCCAAAGTCACACAGCTAATAAGTGACAAAGCTAGGCAGTTTGGCTAGAGTCTGTGCTCTTAACAATTATACCATATTGTTTCCTAGTAAGCATTTCTTATGCCCGTACTATGTGCTGGGCACCATGCTGGACAAAAGGAGTACTGAGATATATAAAACACGGGTACACACATAACAGGTTCTAGTCCATGCAATGATGAGAATCATACAGGCATTCTGAGGTCTAATTTCAGAACAAAACGTTAGAAAACTGCCTCCACACATCTGGACATTAAGACTAAAATGCAGTGCCTGTTTTCTCATTGGTATTATTCTATTCAATAGAGTCAATTTTAAGACTAAGCATTCCTTGACACCCCACCCATCCTTGGGTCATGAAACTCAATAAAGCTCTCTTCATTTTGATTGGAGGGGGGAAAATTCCCCGTAAATATGTTTGCTTCTTTTTCCTGAATCACCCTCTTGTGTGAAAAGGATTGCTTACCACTGATCTAACAGGGTCTTGAATACAGGGTCCCTCAGAGGGTACAAGAAGCCCAGGTGTTCAGGTTATTAAAAAATGAAGAAATGCAAAGCAGGATTACAACATTTTTGGCACATTATAGATCCTCACACAACAAATTTACATTTTCACACACACTCACGCACAAACACACATACAAAGTCAAATACACAATGTAAAATAATTATGATCACAAGAGGATGATAGGCTCTACATTTTTAAATATTGACTCAGAATGCCCTGGGAATGACGTGGTCAAGGCACAGACTGTGCATTTGACACTTTGTGATGAACATCTTGGTGCACATATAATCTAGTGCACAGATAATGTCAAAGTCTCATTAGAATCCTCCATGGAACCAGGTATGGTGGCTCATACCTGTAAATCCCAGTAGTTTGGGAGGTCAAGGCCAGACGATCACAACCAGGAGTTCAAGACCAGCCTGGGCAACATAGTGAGTCCCTGACTCTACAACAAATTTAAAAATTAGCCAGGCGTGGTGGCACCCGTCTGTAGTTTCAGCTACTTGAGGATCACTTGAGCCCAGGAATTGGAGGCTGCAGTGAGCTATAATCGTGCCACTGCACTCCAGCCTGGGTGACAGAGAAAGACCTTGTCTCTAAAAAGAAGCCTCCAGGAATGGGAAACCCAAGTTAAATCAGCTCCCACTCCACCCTAACTCCCTTCCTAAGCCTTCCTTAAGGGAAAAAGAACAAAATACTGAGCCCAGTAGTAAGGAAAGAACAGTGAAAGCCCCAGTTAGGAAACCATGAAAGAGAAGAAATGAGGTACACAGGGAGAAAACGTGGATGAAAACCCTAGACTATGGCCACCAACAGACCCAAGCTAGCCAGGTGTAGACCTCTGTGACACCTAGAGGTCAAGTCCAAGAGGTCAGCTGAAGTTACGAAAGGCAGGCAGGAACTCAATCAGCTACCTACTTGTCCACGAGCTAGCCCTCCCCAGGCCTGGCATCTATGCTTACCTCCTGGCCCACTCCTGCTGGCCTCTCCACAGGCACAGGTGAGGCCCTAAACACCAGGAATCTTCTAATGTGTGCTGCCTTCTCCCACGTCTGTCCCATTTCCTAGGAGTTAATCATGGTGCCCATTGCAACATGGCACCCAATGCCACTTTCCAGAGTAGTGTGACGTCCAATTCCAAGACCTGGAGGATAAAAGGTATTAAAGCTCCTGGGACCACAGAAGAGACAGGGCAGAAAGCTGGTGGAAAACCATCTCCAACATCTGTTTCTTTTTCTGTTAAAATCTATCCACTGTGTGAATTGCCAAGGAAAGTTAAGATTCCTGTTCTGAAACGAGAAGGGTTCTCTTTTCACATGACACCTGCAGAAGATGGGAAACATGATACCCCCTGCAGATCAGAGGACACCGGCTCCCTGTAAGAGGATACCCCAACCCTTGTCAGTGCAGCACCCGGCAGGGCGATTTTTACATTTTTCTCCTCTTGCTGAAGGGCCTCCAGAAAGGCCACCAGGGCTTTCCCCAAGAGTAAAATTCTCCCCAGCTCCCTAGGAGGTCTCACTGCCCACCACCCCTTTATTTAGCTAAGTAGCAGAGTTTTTATTTTACTGTTTATTTTATTTTATTTTATTTTATTTTATTTTATTTTATTTTATTTTATTTGAGACAGTCTCCTTCTGTCACCCAGGCCGGAATACAATGGCATGATCTCAGCTCACTGCAACCTCTACCTCCTGTGCTCGAGCAATTCTCATGTCTCAGCCTCCCGAGTAGCTGGGATTACAGGCACGTGCCACCACACCCAGCTAATTTTTATATTTTTAGTAGAGATGGGGTTTCACCATGTTGGCCAGGCTAGTCTTTTTTTTTTTTTTTTTTTTTTTTTGAGACGGAGTCTCACTCTGTCGCCCAGGCTGGAGTGCAGTGGTGCGATCTCGGCTCACTGCAAGCTCCGCCTCCTGGGTTCACGCCATTCTCCTGCCACAGCCTTTGGAGTAGCTGGGACTACAGGCGCCCGCCACCACGCCCGGCTAATTTTTTTGTATTTTTAGTAGAGACGAGGTTTCACCATGTTAGCCAGGATGGTCTCAATCTCCTGACCTTGTGATCTGCCCACCTCGGCCTCCCAAAGTGCTGGGATTACAGGCGTGAGCCACCACGCCCAGCCTAGGATAGTCTTGAACTCCTGGCCTCGAGTAATCTGCCTGCCTCAGCCTCCCAAAGTGCTGGGATTATGAGCCACTGCACCCAGCCAGTAGCAGAGTTTTTAAATAACTTCCAGAGCCCTTTACTGGAGACACACCCAAGAAGATGGGCTCTTATTCTTCCCACAGAGGACTATAGACCATCAACTAAATTCACTGGCTCCTACTCAAGCTATAGAAAGCTGAGGAGGACCTTGGAACATCCTCTCTAAATTCCTCCCCTAGTTCCAGTCCAGGTAAACAAAAATTGATTCTATTTTTTCAAAACACCAGCCCCTTCAGATGGCCTGGTTAATCTTCATTAACATGTTATCTTCATTAACATGTTTATCTTCATTAACATATTTC
This sequence comes from Homo sapiens, assembly GCF_000001405.40. Taxonomy (NCBI): domain Eukaryota; kingdom Metazoa; phylum Chordata; class Mammalia; order Primates; family Hominidae; genus Homo; species Homo sapiens. The sequence goes on from NC_000014.9 coordinate 72,847,021, forward strand.
TCAGTGATAAGAAGGGCCCAGGGTTCAACATCCCACTTTGCATCCATGCAGACAAGGGCTGTGGGAAGCTGTAAAACTGAAGAGGCGGTGAATCCAGGAGGGATTCCCCAGATATCCGTGAGTTGGTGTTTGACTTTCTTGAACACGTCTTTCCTTTACTTTACACTTACACTTACTGAGCATTCACTCTGGACCAGACCGCGTCCTAAGAGCTTCACGTGTGTGGTCATTCAATCCTCAAACCAATCCTATGGGGTAGGTACTGGAGTTAAGTGATGGCGCTGGGATTTTAACCCAGAAGTCTGATTGCAAAGCCCAACTTACCATGAGGGCCACGACATATGTCTCTACTTACGGATTCCACCAGTACTCTTGACAGGAGCATTTACCTCACTATATTATAAGCCTTGATCTACTTTTCTATCTCCCTGAAGCATAATCAGCCATAATCTGCTAACCGTGCCTCAGTTTTCATTCTCCTTTCTATTTTTTTTTCAGCGGGGGCAGGGGAGACAGAATCTTGCTCTGTCACCCAGGCTGGAGTGCAGTGGCTCAATCTGGGCTCACTACAACCTCCGCCTCCCAGGTTTAAGTGATTCTCCCACCTCAGCCTCCCGAGTAGCTGGGATTACAGGCACGTACCACCATGCCCAGCTAATTTTTGTATTTTTAGTAGAGACGGGCTTTCACCATGTTGGCCAAGCTAGTCTTAAACTCCTGACCTCAGGTGATCCACCCGCCTCAGCCTCCCAAAGTGCTGGGATTAAAGGTGTGAGCCACCGCCCAGCCTCATTCTCCTTTCTTTATTTTTATGATAGCCTCTACCTTGAGTTTCACCCAAGCCTATGGCCATCTGCTCCAAACTACATTTCCCAACATCCCTTGTGGCCAGGTGTGGCCATGGGCCTAAGCTAAGCCAATGGGATATGAGTGGAAGCTCCTTAATGACAAGCTACTTGCCTTTGGATTTCACCTCCTGCTTCTCACATCCTGAAATACAGACTTAAGGATACAAAATAGACTAAAACCTGGGTCCATGAATGATGACTTTCTGGACCTACCTTACCTGCCTGGTGTGCTCGCCAAACGACTTATTTGACAAATAAATAAACTTCTGTCTTATTTAGCTTTTTTAATTTTTTTTATTTTTTTTTGGACACAGAGTCTCGCTCTGTCGCCCAGGCTGGAGTGCAAGTGCAATGGCGCGATCTCGGCTCACTGCAACCTCTGCCTCCTGGGTTCAAGCGATTCTCCTGCCTCAGCTTCCCAAGTAGCTGGGATTACAAGCATGCACCACCATGCCCGGCTAATTTTTGTATTTTTAAGTAGAGACAGGGTTTCACTATGTTGCCCAGGCTGGCCTCAAATTCCTGGCTTCATGTGATCCGCCCGCCTTGGCCTCCCAAAGTGCTGAGATTATAGGCATGAGCCACTGTACCTAGACTTATGTAGCCATTCTATTTGGGGACCTCTTTGTTATAGCAGCTTAGCCTGTATGCTGGATTCAGCACCTGAAGTCCCACAGCTTGTCTTATTCTATTCAACATCTCCAGAACCCTTTCTTAGGGCTTGGAACATAGTAGTTGCTCAGTAAATATTTGTTAGCTGAATGAAAACACCATTATGTAAAGCAGGTAGTACCAGGGCTAAACAAACTGATTTACTCAAGCTGTGCAGGTGTCCCGTATCCAGGTGACTACAATGTTTCCTGCTTTCCTGGAAAACAGGAGTTCAGGACAGAGAGAGTAGGTTTAGGAAAGCATTTGCAATAGGAAAGGGGTAAGCTTTCACTGCATCTGTTGTTGGCTCTCTGCTGAGACAACAGATTTTGGGCTTAATCAAAAGTTAGCTGAGGTTACTTCTTGTCTGATAAAAATAATGGGCTCCATTTGAGCACTTACTGTGTGCCAGGTTCTGTACTAAGCGCTTCACATACATTATGGCATTCATTTTCATTCAATTCTCACAATAACCCTACAAGGTAGAAAATATTAATATCTCCAGATGAACAAACCAGGCCCCCAAAAAAGTTAAATAACTTGCCCTAGCTGCATGGCTCGTTAGTGACAAAAGTAAAATTCAAACCCAAGTTGTTTGAGCCTAAACTTACTCTCTTCATAACCAATCTGCCACTCTGCTTCTCTTCCTGTGTGACAAGCCAATATTCCCCACTATGGTTATAAGTTTCAAGGGCTGGACCACGTTTTGTGCTTATCTCAATAGACGCCACAGGCACGGAGCTTCCACTGGTGGCTGTGACACTTCTTCTCTGTGCATGATTGGTGAGGGGTTGCACACACCCACCAGGAGACATGACGGCAGAGGGCAAACACTCTGAGACCCAGGGTCCACCCAGCTCTCTTTTGCCCTCTCCTCTCCCTGGGCTGCCCCGGCTGCCTCCTTGACCTCTGCACTCTTCTGCCCACGCTGCTGCCGCCCACATCTTGGACAGCATCCCCCGGGGCCGCCTTCCTGCCTGTCTTTGTGTACAATTCCTGCCAGGCCCGGCAGTTCTCCTAGCTAAAGCCGGCAAGGTCCAGACCTGCCCGTCTGGCCTGGTAATGGTGTGGTCCACATTTCACCTCCCACCTTCACCCTAACTTCATCCTCATGGCCATTCTTTATCCACAACAACTCCTTCCTCCCCATTCCCTAGACTCAGCAAAGCAGTCAGGAGCTAGGCAAGGTGGCCTTTATCCCAGAGGTTGGGATAAACCTAGGGCTCATAAATCTAGGGCTGTGAGCCAAATACGGCCCCTGGGATTGCTTTCTGGTTGTGCACTATGCTTTTTGAAAACTGAGTTAGCTAGGTTTAGGCTGGGCACAGTGGCTCATGCCTGTAATCTCAGCAATTTGGGAGGCCAACCTGGGTGGATCACCTGAGGTCAGGAGTTCAAGACCAGCCTGACCAACATGGTGAAACCACATCTTTACTTAAAAAATACAAAATTAGCCAGGCATGGTGTCATATGCCTGTAATCCCAGCTCCTTGGGAGGCTGAGGCTGAAGAATCGCTTGAACCCAGGAGGTGGAGGTTGCAGTGAGCCGAGATCATACCACTGCACTCCTGCCTAGGCGACAGAGAGAAACTCCATCTAAAAAAAAAATTAGCTAGGTTTAAAGTCATTAGAGGTCATATAAAAATGCAAATTTCAAACTTCTCTCAGAAAATCAGGAGCCGTGACAACACTGGGCTCACCTCCCCATGTGGCAAATGGCTTGGGTTGAATGTGAACATCCTCCCTGGAAGGGCATAAACTTCCCAGTTGACCACAGTACAGTCCCCCAACCCCCACCTCCCACCAACTCCCTATTCTTCGTCTCCTACAGGTTTACATGGCCTGACTAGCCCCCAGAGGCATTGGAGTTTGACACGCCCACAGCAGTGCCTCCATTTTGCCGATGAGCAAACTGAGAAAAGGCAAAGAGAAATTAGTCCCCCAGATCTCCAAGTGAGTTCATCAGCAAATCCAGGGCTGGCAATCATTAGACAATATTTATCCAGCTCCCAGATGTCCCCGCCCCTGCTCTGTTCAGTCACTGCACTCATCCATGTGGCTGCCCCAATGCCTTGGGCATGCCAGAGAGACACCTCATTCTTTCAACACACAGGTCACAAACATCTTTTGTGCCATGACAATCTGATTCTCCTCACGTCACCCCAAGATTAACTCTTTTCAAATCTGTGGTTCAGATTATACACCCTGAAGCTGCTGAGGGGTGACCTCTCAATAAGGCTAATCTCCCCTGGACCTAAATACTGGTGGGGCGTGTGTGCATGTGTGCATGTGTGTGTGTGTGCGCACGCGCATGTGTGTACCCATGTGAACTCGCTCATGCATGTGCTTCTAGATTAACACTCTTTCTTCTCATTAACTTCCCAGACAGGTGAGAAGTCAACATTTGCCCCAGTTAGAGAACCAGAAAGTATCAGTCCCACTGCCCCATCTAAAGGGGCAGCAGCTGCTGATGGTTGCCATAGTGGAATGAAGATTCAGGGTTGCCAGATCTTTCAACTTTTCAAGAAGCCAGGAATATAACTTAGAAGAGGGGAGCAATGGTCTCTAAAGACCTGTGCTGAGAAACAAGTTCCTAAGTGCTTGGGAGAATTTATGAGGACCAGGTGCTAGAGAATGCCGGGAAATGAACGCTCCCCTTTGAACGTCCCATTGGTGAGGTCAGAACTATGTCCTCAATCCCTCATCAGCCTATCCCAGGACTCTGAAGAGGACCCCAGGGTGCTTGGCTGGCTTTGCCTTCCAGCCTAAGAATGTCTTTGACTAATATTTTTCTTAATCCCTGTTTGCTCTGTCCTCAAAACAAGCCTTTTTCTCTTTTTCTTATCCATCTTCTCCATAGAGCCCTCAGGTTCTTAACTCACACGGCACTATCTGGATCTTTCCAGTAAGTAGGTTGCCGTTTCCATTTCTTTGATTAAACAACTCTAACAAAGAATTCATTGAGATGAAAATGCTTATCATGAAGCAGGTAACATCCTTTTCCTCCCCAAACCACAAGCAATTAACATATAAATGGCCTGGCAAAGGGACTTCTTTGAGAGGTGGCAGATTATAACTACTCTTGCTCCTACACGGATAAAGCTTTTTTTTAAAGACAGGAAAGAACAATTTACAAATGAGAAAATGTCACAGATGGCCACAAACTAACTTCCCGAGGGATGAGTATTTTGATGCAGATACTTCTTCAAGTGAAAAATGTACAATGTACAAAATGTCCACTCGAGGATCTGTTCCTCCCCGTGTGGGTAATCGCCCTCCTACCACGGGCAACGGGTAGGCAACCGATATGCCCAGAAAGGCGGCCAATGGGAGGACAGCTCGCCCAGCCTCCCGATTGGCCAGGCCCGCCACCAGCTGGAACCATGGCGAGCTTTGAGGACAGCAGAGCCACTTGATGGGATTCTCTCTCTCTTCAAAGCATAGAGCAAACATCAATTAATCCTCAAAAGACGCTTTCAAGAAGAACATTATCCCTTTTGGAGACGCAGAAGCTAAGAGGTGCCGCAGGTAGGTGAAGGGAAGGCAGGAAGTTGAAGAGGAGAGGAGAAAGTGGAGCACCGGGCTTTCAGCCCCAGTTCTGGTTCTCCTGAGAGAGTCAAGTTGCAGGAGAAGAATGAACCTGCAGAAGCCGGGCAGGGAGAGGTGGTGGAGAAGCCGCTGCTCTTGGGTGCGCCCCTCAAGGCTTCCCACTGCCCCATCCCCTAGGAGACCACGGAGTGAAAAAAGTTGGAGGCCTAAGTACAGCCGTGTGTACCCAGCCGGGCACCAGAGTTAAGACAACTGGACTTGTGCTCAAAAACCCTTCTTTAGTAAAACAACCCGTAGGAGTCTGTGGGAGGAGGAAAAATTGAAGTCTGGATGCAATTTGCCACACTGAGTCTGTTCTGGTAACCGCCCCCAACACACTCACACCCCCTTGCCTGAAATGGGGAGAGGGGTGGGATCGGTGTGTGTAAACAGAGGCACTGCCCTGCCTGGCTGCTCTTTCCATCTTAGGAGAACCAATCCAGAACTTTCTACGGCTCACACTCTGATCACAGCCTGTCGCCATGATTGGCAATAAACGTCACACATTCTCACGTTATACATTTATTCGACCTTTAATATTGTGCTCTGAGATTCCTGGAAAACTTGTATGTCATTGGTCAAACGTTATAAAAACAGCCCACTATTTTTTCCCCACTCACATCGTCCGTGTTGACTGCCTTACACACCGATTTCTACATGGAATGTTTTTAGCCTGCATTTTAACACTTAGAATAACTTTCTTTGCCACACACTACATACATACTGTTTGCATCAATAAACAGAGCCCGTGCCACATGCAAGTTATAGGTTTATTGGAGACATTTAAGTGTTTATAGAAAGGACTTTTCTAAAGAATCTGAATGGGAGTTCTCTCAATTTACCAATAGTCAAAGAAATAAAGAAAATTACCCTACAGCTGATTTTTTTTTAATTAAACTACCAACAACTATTCTGCCATAGCCTTGCGTGTGTGTGTGTGTATGTGTGTGTGTGTGTATGCATGCTTGCTGAGGCATAGAAAATATCTGGAAGGATTTACAAAAACTCCTTAGCTTTGGGGAACAGAATGGACAGACAGAGAGAAAACCTCTTTTTTTCTTGTTTTATGTTCTTTACTGTGCATTGTTTACAATCAGCATGTTGTTGTTTTTTTTTTTAAGACTAGTCAAGAGCAGCAGTGAGAAAGGGGGAAGGAAAGAACAAGGAGTTCAATCTGTAACTGTGAACAATCAATTGAGATAACTCACTACCCTCAGACTAGCCACCATGTTGCTTTTTAAATGTTTCAAATCACAAAATGAAAAAGTTACTCTAAGATCATCTATTTTTTCCCCAGGTGTGGTATTTTGTCCCCATGCCTGTGCAAAGTAAGCCAGTAGAATTTAGAAATAGCTTGCTGCCTTTTTTTTTTTTTTTTTTTTTTTGAGATAGAAGCTTGCTCTATTAACCAGGCTGCAGTGCAGTGGCACGATCTTGGCTCAACACAACCTCTGCCTCCCAGATTCAAGTGATTCTCCTGCCTCAGCCTCCCAAGTAGCTGGTACTACAGGCGCGGACCACCATGCCTGGCTAATTTTTAGTAGAGACGGGGTTTCACTATGTTGGCCAGGATGGTCTCAAACTCCTGACCTTGTGATCTGCCTGCCTTAGGCTCCCAAAGACCTGGGATTACAGGCATGAGCCACCATGCCCGGCCTGCTACCTTTTTTACATACACAAAATAATTGCAAACTTTCACTGCAGTACTGCCAACCCTCATGTCACCATCTACAATGTACCACGTCAAGAAAGGACAATATCTTCAAACCCACTTACCAGAAGAAAAGGTTGAAGCTGTATTTGGCAGGATACTGACATACAAACCTCCAAGATCTGGGAAACAACTCAGGCTCCTTGACTTGACTTCCTTAACGATGACTTGAGAAACACCAGAAAGTCCAGAACACATAAACTCATGAAACCAACCAATAGACTGGAATCTCTCCTGTTATTAAAGTCATCTTTTTGGCCAGGCGCAGTGCCTCACACCTGTAATCCCAGCACTTTGGGAGGCCAAGATGGGCGGATCACTTGGGGTCAGGAGTTCGAGACCAGCCTGGCCAACATGGTGAAACCCTGTCTCTACTAAAAATACAAAAATTAGCCAGGCAAGGTAGTGCATGCTATAGTCCCAGCTACTCTTGAGGCTGAGGCAGGAGAATTGCTTGAACCCGGGAGGTGGAGGTTGCAGTGAGCCGAGATCACACTCTACTCTCTCTACTCTACTCCAGCCTGGGTGATAGAGTGAAATCCTGTGTCAAAAAAAAAGAAAAAACAAATCATCTTTTATTCTCTTAAAGAATGAATTTTTCATGGGCCATCAACTTCTTCAGTCATTTAAGTATTTGTTTAGAGAATATTTCAGTTAGAAACTCAGGAAATGGAGACCTGACCTCAAAGGGCCCTTTCCAGTCATAAAGTAATTAGAAATAAAATAAAAACAGGTTGAAGTGATAAGCTGATAAGAAAATCCAATTTGTTTCCAAAATTGTTCACTTACAGCTGTTTTTCTCATGAATATAGCTATAGTTGTCATCAGCAAATCAGTGGCTTGGAATTCGAAAGGAGTGAAAATATACATCCTGGGTCTCTTGAACTCCTAGTGTTTGCCAGAGCTAGGCAGCAGGATCAAATGGTCAATTTCAGCCTGGCCCTGAAATCAAAACCCTCTAACAGTCACAGAAGTTCTGCAGCTAGTCAGTTACTTACTGCCCACACTTCACTCAGCACAATCCTTAAAGTCACCAGAGGGAGCCCAAATTTGCGACAAACCAGAATGCTTTCCTTTTAGGGCATAGTTGTCCTTCTGATTCTACTTTTGCCCTCTCCTTTCCAAGACTAATTTAGAAACGAAGGGAAGTAGGCTAAGAAAATCCTCACCTTTAATATTAATAAGACTTGTGCAGTCCCCGGATGATCAGAGCCCAGACTACATAGGACTTGAAAGAAAGAATGAGACTTTGATATGGAATATGAAAAAGTAACAGGTAGGAGGGGTGGAGAGACCAAACTGAGAGGCCTAGGGCCCAGCTTCTGCAGCTCTGTCACTGACTGGCCCGGTGACGATCACGCCTATTTACTAAGCAGGGATGACCTACGCTTACCTGTCTACATTTTTATCTGTGAGATGAACGAAATGAAACCTCCAATGGTTTATTTGCCATGACAATTTTTAAAAATCAGTAGGAATGAGGGAATTAGGAATTGAGCCCATGCTATACCTTCTTTTCAAAAGAGATTTCACATGTACCATCTCATCTGTATTCCTGGAGAGATAGTAGCCCATTATGAGTGGCTCCAATTTACAGAAAAAGTAACTAAGGCACAGAGTGGTGATCTACCCAGGACAGCATGGTCTGTAGAAGAAGCATTGGTCTGTTTAGTGCATTGAAATGTATTCCAGAGATATTGGTCTGTAAAGACCTTCCCAGAATGTGTCTAGAAGGTTCAACCACCTGGTGGAAGACATAGAACGCCTTGTCATGCCTTCCCCATTCCAGCCTGGAGTTCTCTCCATGGTCTCAGCCTGCTTCTATGAAGCTTAGTTTTATAGGGAGCCTTTTAACCAAGCCAACCTCAGAGTCCCACTGGCCAAGGGGATGGTGGGGGAGGCAAAGGATTCTACTGGGGCAGTATGTAACCCACATATAAGTTCCATCCAAAGCAACGCTTCCAAACCTAGCTCACCAGGACAGGAGAAAGGTTACCATCAGGGTACTCTTAGCTGAGAACTCATACCTTTCGGGCTTTCATTGGCTTGAGGCATGAGTGATCAGCAGAGCCCCACATCACAATCCCTGTACTCAGATATAAATTATATTAGTGGGCAGGGAATGTCAGGAAACTTAGGTTGTAGAATCTAGATCAACAACTGCTTACCGAGGAGCTGGGTGAATTGTAAAGAAAGAAAGAAACAAGTGTTGAATGACTGTGGCCTCATTAAACATTTCTGTGGCCTGGCCTGTGCTTTGGGCTTTCCCAGAGCTGTTTCATGCAATAGCTTTGGGCAGGGCACTTCTTTGGACTTACTCCAACTACACAAGGAGGAGGAGGATGTCTATGGTTCTTTCCACCCCAGACACAGTATCAGTCACAGCCCCACCTTAATTCCACTACTCCAATTCTGTTCTGAGGGTATCACAGGATGCTGTGGTGGGTTCCCCAGCCCCACAAAATCCTTTTCTCCTCTAAAACAGGAGAACATCTTTCCTTCCTTTCTGATCATCCATCTTGCAGCCAGCAGGACTCCCAGCCAGAACATTGTCAATTTACTCAGGGATCCATGAGGCACCTTTTGGAAGATGAGAGGGGTTGGGTGAAAAAAGGAAGAGGAAGTGGGGTGCTGGTACTTCTGGAAACAAGCCATTTCTCAGCCTGCTCTGTGAAGGTCCCCCAAACCCTACACAGATCTAGGAAGGGAAACTGCATTCCAAGAATGCATGGGGGCTAGAAGGACCCGCTGGAGCATGGATCCCACCCACAGGAGATAATATTTTGAAAAGAGCACACATTTAACCAGGGAAGAAGAGCCCATGCCCTGGCTTAAGAGCATAGCTGTTTCCTCCTCCATCTGCCCCCATTTTCCCAGGCCTGACTAGAGCAAGTAGTTAAGCCAACCCAAATCCAGAAGTATGAATAATGCGTGAAGCACAGGAGGACAGGCAGATGGCCTTTTCACCTGCGCAGGCTATATAGCTCTGTGCGGAGGGGCTGAGAGTCCAGCGCGGCCCCTGTGCCCCTCAGTAACTGTGCAAGAGGAAGTGGGCCTCCCCTGCGGGGGTATGAAATGTGGGGCGAGGACTTAGGAGTTCACCGGGAAGTGCCAGCCATCCTGGGGCAGACACCAAGAGCTGGAGTGATTTGTTTACCCTTTTTTCATGAGTTAATTTGCTTCCAGCAGATTCCATTAGTGACCTGACAGACCAAGGGCCTGGAGGAGGTCCCTGGAAGAGCTGCTGAATCAGCAGACTAAAGGGGCGACCAGGAAGGCCAGACGTCTTGCACCGAGCCCTTTGCTCAGAGTTTCTATTTGAAGAGCTTAGAATAACTATTTGCTAAGCTCTTGTCAAGGCAGCACCTCTAAACCATGTATGGAGAGAAGACACACAAACCTTGACCACCAAATGTGAATGGCCAATCAGAAGCTGACACAATCAGCTGCTGACTGAGGAAAAATGATTTTATGGGGGAAAAGAATTCCCACATGAAATAATAAGCAAAAGTTATAAACTTATTAAAAAGCTTGTTAAAAACTTACTTAAAAAGCAAAAGTTTAAACATGGTTCCATCTGCAACTAGGAACTGGTCGGGGAGGGAGGGTTTGAACTTCCTTTGAGTTTCAATTGATAATCCCCGAAGATTAAGAAAATAGTGATACTATTACTACTGCTGCTGCTATTATTACAAATAATAATAACTACAATTAACATTTATTTGGCACCTAGTACATGCTAGGAAGTAGGCAATGAGTTTTTTTGTTTGTTTGTTTGTTTGTTTTTGAGATGGAGTCTCACTCTGTCACCAGGTTGGAGTGCAGGGGCGCAATCTCGGCTCACTGCAACCTCCGCCTCCTGGGTTCAAGCAATTCTCCTGCCTCAGCCTCCCGAGCAGCTGGGACTACAGGCACACGCCACCATGCCCAGCTAATTTTTTTGTATTTTTAGTAGAGACGGCGTTTCACCATGTTGGCCAGGATGGTCTCAATCTCTTGACCCTGTGATCCGCCCACCTCAGCCTCTCAAAGTGCTGGGATTACAGGCGTGAGCCACCACGCCTGGCCTGCAAGGAGTTCGTTATGCATGATTTCATTTACTCCTTGCAACATCTCTTTGAGGTAGGGAAACTGTGTGGGTGAGAAAAGTCACATAGCTGCTAAGTCATAGAAAACGTTCAGAGCAAAATCAAACCCAGGTGTAGGCCAGGTGCAGTGGCTCATGCCTGTAATCCCAGGACTTTGGGAGGCTCAGGCAGGCGGATTACTTGAGGCCAGGAGTTCAAGACTAGCCTGGGCAACATGGCGAAACCCCATCTCTACCAAAAATATGAAACAAATTAGCCAGGTATGGTGGCATACACATGTGGTCCCATCTACTCAGGAGGCTAAGGTGGGACGATTGCTTGAGCCTGGGAGGCGGAGGTTGCAGTGAGCCAATATCACACCACTGCACTCCAGCCTGGGTGACAGAGTTAAGACTCTATCTCAAAAAAAAAAAAAAAAACCCAGGTGTGTCCAACTCCAGGCTTGTGCACTTACCCACTCTGCTATATGGCTAAATCCCACAGGCTACAGAGAGAGCAGGGAAGTAGGACTCAGGAGAACTGCCTCCAGCCCCACAGGCACCCTGACTAGCTGTGGGATCTTAGCAAGTGATTTCAACTTGTGGGCCATCGTATTCCATCAGATGATTGATGTCTTAGGGACCCCTTCAATTCAAACCACAGTTATTGGTGGACTGCCTGAGTGCCAGGCACTAAGATAGGGGGTGGGGGAATGTATAAACAAAACTAAGGCGTGGTCCTTCCCTCCAGGAGTTTACAGTCTAGCCCTGCCTTATGCAAAAGCCAAAGAGCCTTAGGTGTCCCTTCAGGTCTAAAATACTACTCAGAGATTCCTTTTGAACATGCAAAGTATTTCTGACAGCATTCATATTCATCTTCTATTTGTTCTGTGTGGACATTTGCATGGAGAGGTATCTGAAATTATGTTCGTCCAATGGATTTGGGGTGATAATTTTGCTCTCATCTTTTTACTTTTATGTGTTGCTTGAATTTTTAGTAACAAATATACATCATTTCTATAAAAACAAAGGCATTTTTAAAATACTGCTAAATAACACTATATATGGGTGTATATGTATATGTATATATGCACACACATACCTATATACACATATATATTTAAACAGTAACTGGATATTTAATAATACTGTGGAATTATTGTTAACTCAGATAAGATTGTGACTAGGTTTCCAGAAAGAATCTTTATTTTTTGCAGATACATACTGAAATAATTTACAGATAAAATGATGTCTGAGATTTATTTCAAAGTAATCTCTAGTGTGAGAGGGTAGGAGTAGGCTATAGATGAGACAACGCTGGCTCTGAGTTGCAAGTTGTGGAAGCAATTTGGGTGCTAGGTGATGGGTATAAGAGTGTTCACGATACTACATAGGTTTGAAATTTTCCATACTATACAGTAAAAAAGGAACTCCTTTCAAGGCCAACAGGGAAGCAACATTTCCCCAAAGCTAAGCTAAGCACCCAGCTGGCAGCATTTCTACCTGGGGTTTCTACCACCCTTGGCTTCCTCTCTTCTTTGACTATCTATCACAGTTTAACTTCATTGGTTCTCTGCAGCTTCCTCCCCCCCCCCCCCCACACCATTCCCCCCTAACCTTCTGGAATCACGTGTTGTATCTATTTGTACATTCCAGTGCCCAGGCCATCCCTCTTCGACCTTACCCTGGCCCAGGGGACAGAGCGGGTGGGCCTGAGCAATGCTCCCACACACCTCCGCTCAAAGTCAGCTGTTTGCTGTAGAGGTAGAACAGCTTGACTACTGGGGGCGAGGGTCACAGTTCACTCATTCCCCCAGCAAATACGGAGCCAGATGCTGGGGACTCAGCAGTGAACAAGACCAAATTGCTACCTTCACAGAGTTTTCATGCTAGAGAAGGAGCCAACTATAAATGTTATCTCCCATCCCTCCCAGATTTAGGGCCAGGGGTATATTCACCAAGACATTCCTGAATCACCTGGGATCTTGTCCCAAATAATTTAAACCTGAAAGACATGATCTAGTGCCAAGAGCTAGAATACCACCCAACTACCCATCCCAATCCAGTTCCCCATTTAACTGACAAAAAAAAAAAAAAACAGAAATGGTGTAAGCCCACCATGTAAGTAAACATAAGTAAACAGTGGCAGAGGAAAGGGTACCCAGACTTCACTGTGGCAGGCCCACCTGGGACCACATTCAGAATTTTTACAAGCTTAGCTGCGATGTTGACCAAAGTTCTCCCCACTTTTTTTCATTTGCTTGAATTTCACTTTTATTTTTATTAACATCTTTTGTTTTGTTTTGTTTTGTTTTTGAGACAGGGTCTCACCCTGTTGCCCAGGCTAGAATGCAGTGGCACAATCATAGCTCACTACAATGTCCACCTCCCAGGCTCAAGTGATCCTCCCACCTCAGCCTCCCAAGTAGCTAGGACTACAGGCACAAGCCAACATGCCTGTCTTATTTTGTTTTACTTTTTGTAGAGACAATGTCTCACTATGTTGCCGAGGCTATGCTTGAACTCCTATGCTCAAGCGATCCTACCACCTCAGCCTCCCAAAGTGCTGGGATTATAGTCATGAGCCACCACACCCGGCCCTTTATTAACATCTTAAATTTCGTGTTATAAGGCTTGTTATACAAAATAGTGGTCCACTGCAGCTTAATTCTTTTTCTTTTTCTTTTTCTTTTTTTCTGAGAAAGAGTCTCACTCTGTCGCCAAGGCTGGAGTGCAATGGCACAATCTTGGCTCACCACAAACCTCCACCTCCTGGTTTCAAGCAATTCTCCTGCCTCAGCCTCCCGAGTAGCTGAGATTACAGGCGTGCACCACCATGCACAGCTAATTTTTGTATTTTTATTAGAGATGGGGTTTCACCATGTTGGCCAGGCTGGTCTCGAACTCCTAGCCTCAGGTAATCCACCCACCTCAGCCTCCCAAAGTGCTGGGATTACAGGCATGAGCCACCACGCCCGGCAGCTTAATTCTTTTAATTGAAGATTGTGATATTTACCTACACATCTCTAAATAACATGTTTTTAACTGTTGTTTCTTGATTTTTCAGTTTTAGGCTTCCCCAAGTAGGAAAGAGTGGATTTACCCTTTTTGTAGCCTGTGCTTTCTTATCTGTTCTCACTATACACACACACACACACACACACACACACACACACACACACACAGACACATACACACTTCCTTTCTCTCCATCCCCCTATGCTCCATCTGTCTGCCTGCCTGCTTACTATCTATCATCTATCTGTCTGTCTCCTTCCTCCCTCCCTCTCTCGCTCACTCTGTGTATGTATGTACTGGTGAATATATATTTTTATTTCTCAATGATTACCGTTTTTATTGCTATGATTATGTAAGCTCTATTCAGAACTGTGACATGTAGTATTCTCTAGTTACATTTCCTCCACTGGATAACTTGCATTCCTGGAATTAATAATTGTCTTATTTAATTCATTTGCTTAGTATTGTATGTACTCACCGCTAATTCAGACCCCTAGCTCTCCTTAAGTTGTGTATATTCTCTCTCAATATGTTGAGTATGTTTCTCACCCACTTTTGAGGGTGAATTTGGTCATTTTGCTAGCAAACATGATTGTAGCAGTTTTAAAAAACAAAACTTCCCTGCCAGAGATAACTTATACACCTTGCTAATATAACCAGTGACCTCCTATGTGAGTGCTTGATCATGGAAAACATTTAGCCATGTTTGGCTAATCCTAACAAAGACTACATTTGGTGCACGAGAACTTCCAAATCACCTTTCTTAGCAAAAGAAAGAGAGAAAGAAAAGAAAGAAAGAGAGAGAGAAAGAAGAAAGAGAGAGAAAGAAAGAAAGAGAAAGAAAGAAAGAAAGAAAGAAAGAAAGAAAGAAAGAAAGAAAGAAAGAAAGAAAGAAAGAAAGAAGGAAAGAATTTGGAAAAACAGCATTTTCAATTTTTCTTACTTTATCACAATAATGGAAATGGTGTCATAAGGTTTTAATGCATTCATCAAAATACAGCATGTTCTATATTACTTGTGGATTTACCATTGTTCTAACAAAAAAGTATGTATTATATGCTTTCACCCATAGACTGTAAGCTCTAAGAAGGCAAACCGCTTCAGCCCTACTTTTCTGAAATATCCTCATCACCTAGCACAATGCCTCCCATGTAATTAGAGCTAATAAACATTTCTTGAATTGAATCCCAATGTGCTTTAAGAATGGGAGCTCAGTGGCACACGACCTGAGTTAGTTCCCTGTGCCTTTATAGCAACCAGTTTGCATCCAGGTCCCAGTGAGGCCCACTGGACAGTTCCCTAACCCCCCCTGCATGCTATCAACAATGCACCTGCTCTTGGCCATTTCCACCTGGAAGTTGAATTGGCCTCTCAAGCCTTCCAGACGAAGTGGAGCCCACACACACCTGCTGCCCTCACAGTCCTCACCATCACAACAATCCACCGTCTCATCTTCCACTTGCTCAGGCCAAATGGATGCCTCTCTTGTTGTCACATCCTACTTTCAATTCCATCTTAATCCCATCATCTCTACCTTCAAAATGTACTCAGAATCAGCTACCTCTCACCACCTTTGCTGTTACCACGTGGTCCAAGTCACTGCCTCCTCCATCTACTCTCAACTCAGCAGCCAGAGTGATGCTGTAAAACCTTCTGGTAGGTCCCAACTCCAAGGATAAGCCAAAGTGCTCCTATTCCTCCCACTCCCTCTCACTCTGCACCAGCCACATGGCTTCCCTTGCTGTTCTTCAAAACATCAGCCATGCCTCCACCTCTGGACCTTTGCACCTGCTGTTCCCTCTGACTTGAATCCTCTTCTCCTGGATGACCCTCAAATGTTGCTTCTCAGGGAGCTTTTCCCCCAACACTCCTGGTCCCAACTCCCCATTTTAGTTACCTCCATAAACTTCTCACCATCTCACTTCTTTACTTAGTTACATTATCATCTGGGTGCCCCCACTAGAATGCAAGCTCCATGAAGGCAAGGATTTTGCCCAATTTGTTCACTGCTCTATGTCTAGCACCCAGAATAGTGTGACTAATTCAACAATAAGTATTTGTTGAATTAAATTAATCCTAGGACACCTGGAAATATTTTTATATCCCCATTAGGGAGGAAAAATTACAGAATCTCCTTCCAGATATATTATTCCATTTATATATATATATATATATATATATATATATATATATATATATGTGTGTGTATACATATATGTGTGTGTGTGTGTGTGTATATATATATGTGTGTGTGTGTGTGTGTGTGTGTGTGTGTGTATCCCCAGGCCTTTCTCAAGCAAATAAATAAGCTCTAATGAATTTCAAAAGACAAAGAAATCTCATTTCATTTTAACTTTTTCTCACCCTTCCCAAGTCAGGGACCACCTCCTCTCCTCCCCGGCCCAAAGCTGGAAACTGTGTGCTCAGTGGACTCAGGAGGAGTTGCAGGTGCCACCGACCTGAAGGCAATTACCACCCACAAGTTTCAGGGGAAGAGAAGATTACCGAGAAAGGGAAGAGAAATTAGCACATAGATGAGAAACACATGTTTAAAAACTCCTTCTGAGGTCATGAGTAAGCTGATTGAAGCTGGCACCAGAGTGACAAATTAATTTCATGACCCTCTTGCTTTCATTGGGAAATGTAGGATTCTAAAAAAAAAAAAAAAAAAAGCAACCGATGTGTAGAAAAGGGCACGTGTGTCTGCCCACATGCCTATATAGAGTGGTCTGGTAAGAAAACAAGCTGTTTTCCAGTGCATTTGTTTTGAATGTGCATTGAGCCACCTACTGTGTGCCCAGCAGACCAGAGATAGCTAAGGCTCAATTCCTTTACTCAAGGAACTCCAGCAGGTGAGAGTGGCTAGCATAGACACAGCCCACCAGAAGTCACTATGCCACTGTGCAAATGTTCTGCTGGCAGGAATTAAGCACTAGGGGCAGCTGTTCTGCCTAGAAAGAAGTCTCGGGCCTTGAAGTGTGCATAGACACTGGAAGAGCTCATCAAGTAGAGACCTGGGGGTCGGGGAAGAAGTCCTGGCAGAGAAGGTCACAGAAGCAAAGGCCTGGAGGTGGGAAGCCCATGGTGGGATGTGATTCAAGCTCAGAGTCTGCCAAAAGGTGGTGGAATGGGAGGCTGAAATGTGAATGTTGGTCTAGGGAGTCTGGCATCCTCCTCTGGTAAGTGCGCCCTGGTCCCTCCAGAGAGAATTGATCCCTCCCCTCCTTTGCATCCCACCCACCCCCATACACACTCCCCAGGGCTCACACCCAGCTCAGGGCCTGGGCACAGGGCATCACCTGCTCCCTCTTCATGGACTGCTTCTCCTCCCGACAAATGCCTCTCCCTCCCATCCAGCAGGTCTCTGCTCAATCACCACCTTCTCAGTGAAGCCACCTCTCGCACCCCCTACAAGGGGACAAACCCACACATACGTGTCCCTACTTTGCTTTATTTTCTGCCACAGCATTTACACTTGTGTTTTTGGTCAGTGTCGGCCTCCTCCACTGGACTGCGGGCTCCATGAAGGCAGGGACTTTGTTTTATCGACTGCCATATCCCCAGCACCTACAGTGCTTGGCACTTAGTGAGAGCTCAATAAATATTTGACAAATTAATAAAAAATGCCTGTAACACTTGAGTGACTTGGGTTGTTTATTTCTTCCCCTCCTACAAGATTGAAAATGGATATGAAAGCAAAGCTTGAGCTTTCAGCTCTCTACCCCGGCCCTGTGCATGGTGCTGCCCAGGTTGGCACTCAGTAATTAGCGGATGGATGGATGGATGGATGGATGGATGGATGGATGGATGGATTCTATAATCAGTAGGAGCCATCAAAAGTATAAAGAAACTGAACTGTGCAATGCCTTTCCTGTGGGGAAAAGTGGCCTGATGGGGTAGAAGCACTGCAGGCTGGGAGGTCAACGAGGAAGCTCCTGCCAGTGTCCCCACAAGCCACAATGTGGCCTGAATGGGAGGTGAACAGAGTAGGGGACAGAGTCCAGAGACATACCCAAGGTTAAGCCAATATGACTCGGGACCAAGTGTAAGTCAGGACGAGGGGAGGGAGGAGCCAAAGATGATGCTCAGATTTTTGCTTAGATGACAGTGAACTCCAAGGGGAATAAGCAGCTTTAAGGGAAGAAGTTCAATTCATTCAGGATGGAAGTGTGAGGGAGGACATCCAGGCAGTAGAATGGTCAGGAGGAGAGAGGGAGATTGAGTCACGGGTGCTGGCTGGAGTCATGGGAATCCACTCATTCATTTATCTTTTTGAGCCCATGCCAGGTCCCAGGCATTTACTCTGCTAGAGACTATGGACGCTGCAGTGCCCAAGACAGGCAAGGTCTGTGCTCTCATGGAACTTACTTTCGGAGAGGAAAGGCAGACAAAGGAAAAGTGAGCAAACAGATCCATAGAGATAATTTCTGATATTGTATGCACTGTGAAGAAAATAAAACCAGGCCATGGGAGCATGATGCGGGGACAATATTAGATAGGTTGGGCCAGGAAGGGCCTTCTGAAGAAGTGGCTTTTGCCACAATGAGGTAGAGAATGGGGATGACGACGAAGTTCCTGCTTCTTGGCTTCAATTTTCTTGAACAAATCTGGGGTGAAATCATCGGCTGAGAGCAGAGAGATGGAAAGGGTTTTCAGGTAAATGGAAAAACATTGGACTATTCTCTGCCATAGGAAGAAATGGAAAGGGTGAGAAGAGATTATGATGGTGCACCGAGGACCTCACTGACGGCTGAAACCACAGGGGGGTAAGGAGCCCATCAATGCAGGGCGTGTGCAAGTTTCACAGGTCTCATATATCGATGAAGCTTTATGTCCTTGCCACTGAATTGACATCAGCACTAGGCCGGGTGCATCGGCTCATGCCTGTAATCCCAGCCCTTTGGGAGGCAGAGGCAGGCAGATCACTTGAGGTCAGGAGTTTGAGACCAGCCTGGCCAACATGATGAAACCCCGTCTCTACTAAAAACACAAAAATTAGCTGGGTGTGGTGATGTGCACCTGTAATCCCAGCTACTTGGGAGGCTGAGGCAGGAGAATCACTTGAACCCAGAAGGCGGAGGATGCAGTGAGCCAAGATCACTCCATTGCACTCCAGCCTAGGTGACAGAGCAAGACTCAGTCTCAGAAAAAAAATAAAAAAGAAAGCAGCACTAATGCCCTGGCAGCAATGTGGAAGCTCTGTCTCCACTTTGTATGAGATGGGCTTGCCGGCTTGTTGATTTGATGGTAATTTAGTTTGATGGGCTATGAGGGTTTTCATTACTTGGTTTTACCAGGCACATTCCCACCACCACCTCTTCCACAGACTGAGGTCACCTCAGTCTGTTCCTGCCACAGCCTCCACGCACAAGCCATCCTGCAAATTAATCACCCTCAACATTCATCGTGCCAAACCTTAAGTAACTCCCCAGCACCTGCAGGATCAGTGCCAAACTTTTCGCCCAAGTATTTATAATCAGGTCCTTCGTGACCTGTCCAGCTTCTCTCTCCCAGTGACCTGGCTGGTGTTCTCACTGCTCCTTTCTGAACCCAAGCTTATTCGAATGCACAGGCTCAGGTACCCGCCTCTGCTCCATCGATACCAGCCATGGAGTCTTGGGCAAATCTTGGGCAACTCCTTGGAGTTTTCTCATCGATAAAAAAGTTAATATGGCTGGGTGTGGTGGCTCACGCCTATAATCCCAGCACTTTGGGAGGCCGAGGAGGGCGGATCACCTGAGGTTGGGAGTTTGAAACCAGCCTGACCAACACGAAGAAACCCCATCTCTACTAAAAATACAAAATTAGCTGGGCATGGTGGCACATGCCTGTAATCCCAGCTACTCGGGAGGCTGAGACAGGAGAATCGCTTGAACCCAGGAGGTGGATGTTGCAGTGAGCGAAGTTTGCACCATTGCACTCCAGCCTGGGCAACAAGAGCGAAACTCCATCCGACTCGTGATCCACCCGACTCGGCCTCCCAAAGTGCTGGGATTATAGGAGTGAGCCATCATGCCTAGCCCACTGGTACTCATTTTCTAAGGGTATTCTTTTCTAACCAGACCACGAAATCTCCAGGCTACCTCAAGGGTCTTACAAGGAGGAAGCAAAGGCCTAGGTGCCCAAATACTGGTATTTCAACAGGACGGCTTTTATTTTTAATAAAATAATTTTTATAGAGATGGGGTCTCACTGTGTTGTCCGGGTTGTTCTCAAACTCCCGGGCTCCAACAATCCTCCCACCTCAGTCTCCCAAAGTGCTGGGATTACAGGTGTAACAGCTTTTTATAGGAGTTCTGCCTCCTACAGCTTCATACTGGAAAATACGAGCAAAAAATGTTGAGCACATCTATGATGAGTAAGGGAGATGAGTTGCACTGTATGGAGAACCTGATCCCAGGCCTGGCCCCACCTTTTTTTAACTGTGAGGCCTGAGGACTATCCCAGGCCATCCAGGCCTCTGGTGTCACGTCTAGATAGTGAGGAAGAACCCCCTTCCATGGTCTCTAAGGTGGTTCCTAGATCTATTATTCCAAGCACTAGCTCTCCTATGAGCTGTACTGTTGAGGGGCAGAGGGGTCAAAAGAACCTTCTCCCTCTCTGGCCGATAGATGGTTGGGGTACTCTGAAAGCTTCTCTGTTCCCTCTGCCCATTCTCCTCTAAGGTGTTTCATTCAATAGACATAAAAACAAGAGCATCACACTGCAAAGTCTGAACAATTGAAGAGATGCCCCGCCCTCCATGACTATCAAAGTTGGGGGATGGATACTTGGGGGTTCTTTATACTATTCTTTCTACTGTTGTATAAGCTTGATATCTTCCACAATAAGTTTGTTTTTTGTTTTTTGTTTTATTGGGAGATTCTCACTCTGTTACCCAGGCTGGAGTGCAGTGGCACAATCTCGGCTCACTGCAACCTCTACCTCCCAGGCTCAAGGGATCCTCCCACCTCGGCCTCCTGTGTAGCTGGGACCACAGGTGTGTGTCACCATGCCTGGCTATTTTTTTGTATTTTTTTCTGGAGACGGCATTTCACCATGTTGCCCAGGCTGATCTTGAACTCCTGGACTCAAGCAATGTGGCTGCCTCGGCCTCCCAAAGTGCTGGATTACTGAGCCACCACACCCAGCCAGAAGAAGTGAGAATAACAGCAATAAACTCACCTGATTCCACCCTTTCATGTACTAACTAGATATGGATCTTTTGAGCCCTCAAAAAGGTACTGATCTTTTTTTAAAGGAACTACATCTGAACATCGTAAGATTCAATGCCTTTTTAACCTTGCACATTGGAGAAAGAGGTATGAAGGAAGAAGGGCAAAGGGTACCTGGGAGTCAGACATCTCTCTCCTCCCACCAACTCCATCACTTTGTAATGGTCTCTACTAGGATGCCCAAGTTCCCAGAGCCCTAGTCTCCTCAATTGCATTTTTGAGGGGCCTAAAGGAGACCACCTTGCCTCAAAAGCACTTGTTCCGGTTATAACCACTCCCACACACATTTAAAGCATCCCTTTGTTGTTGCATATGCAGGGCTGGGAGGAACAATGGTGCTGAAACTTTCCAGGACATGAAAATCCGATTGCATGGCCTCACCCCTAGGGATTTTGATTCAGTGGCTCCAGCGGAGGAGGCCCAGGAATCTACCTTTCCATCAGTCACACAGGTGCCCCTCCTGTAGGTAGTCCTCAGAGGACACCTTGAGAAAACCAAAGGAAAAGCAGAGGGAGGCAAACTGCTCAGTGCTACCTGGGAGGAAAACAATCTACCTATAGCATGGAAAACCTCCAAGGAGCAGGCAGGGAGTGTCCATCAGAATGACAGGAAGGAGCGAGGCAGTTAAAGGGAAAGCACCATCATCAAAGCCTTCTCCAGCTAATACCTTGTCCTTCCTGCATATGCTCCTATCTCATTTTTATTTTCTAAATTTTACCCAGACAAGCTTCCCCAAAACCCACTCATCCTGACCTTCCCGGGCTCCATCACTAAATCTCCCCATGGCCAGGGGAACTTTTAGAAAGTGTACTGGATCAAGTCCCTTTCCTAACTTCAATCCTTCCATGGCTGCTTACTGCCCTTAGGATAAAGTACACAGCCCTCAAACTTCTCCATCAAGGCCCTTCATGACCAGGCCTCTCCTGACCTCTCTTACCATCTCATCCCTCTCCAGTGCTGCAGCCACAGTGGCCTTCCATGGGTCCCCCAACATGCACAGGACCTTGGCACATGCTATTCCCTCTGCTGGGATCAAATGTTTCCTCTTCAAGGAAATTTTCCCTCAATGCCCTAGACCAGAAAAGGTCCCCCTACTATACTCTTCTATCTTCCTGGACTTTCCAACTTAACACTGATCCCACATTTACTTACATATTTGTGTGATTATATGATTAACATCTGTCTTCCCAAGTGGACCATAAGCTTCATAAAGATAGGGTCTGTGTTGGTTTGGCTCACCATCATGTACCCAGGGTCACAGTAGCTAGTACATTGTATGTGTTCAATAATACAACATAAATGCCCAGTGCACTGTGGTCTGGGGAGACATGGATGAAGAAAAAAAGTGAGACGCATGCTTGAAAAATTCATAATGCAAATGACAGGCCAGTGTGAGACGGTGTGCTTCTCCTGGTCATGGCCACTGAAAATCTTCTCGACTGTCACACGGATGGCGTCACTGGATGCCACAAGATCTCAGGCTCTTCCCAGTAAGAGCATCTCTCTGGGACTGTCCCCAGAGGACAATGAGAAGGTGGCTTACCTCCTGGGGAATGTGGGGACGGAAAAAGAGGGCTGGGAGAGAGAGAGTGCCAACCTCCTCAATCCCCTTCTTGTTATCTCCTGAAAATGTAGCTTAGTCCCTCACTATCAGGACTCAGAGAGAGAGGTGGGGAAGAGAAGGTCACAGACAGAAACGATCTTCCTCCCTCCTATCTGGAGCCACAGAAACAGGCATACCCATGTTATCTTTGAGCTTGCTTTTTTTTCCCTAGAGATGATGGGGGGTAGGGTGAGCAGGAAGATTCAGAGCAGTCAGTTCAGAAAACAGGGTGTTTTTCTGCTTGGTTATCAGACCCATGCCCATTCAAGGGATGCAAAATAGGCTGAAGTTTAGATTCTCTGACTCGGCTATTGAGTCCCATCAATTACAACACATGGAAAAAACTTTGGACAGTTAAAAATAACATAGGGGCCTGGTGTTTGGAAGATCTGGAGTTTGGAATGCCAGCTTGTCAAGCACAGATCCCTGCCTACCAAAAAGCATGTGCTGGGAACTCACATACACACCAACCAGCACAAGAAGGTCACAGATGAGCAAGGTGCCTGTTACCTACCACCCTGACAACAGTGTGTCAGGCCAACTTGGAGGACAAACTCTCAGTCCTCAGCCACTTTGGTCTAAAGGACTTCCAAGCCCTCTTCTAGCTGTGGAAAGGGCAGAGCTCATCCAGGAAAGAAGTAGTCTCCTTCCCCTTAGAGGAGGTAGCCATGAATGGAATTGTGGGCTGAGTCCAGTCACCTTACAGAGACACTTCACCTCTGTGTGCTGTGTTTCTACATCTGTGAACTTCTTGTTCTTTCTCAGAAGGACCCAATATCAGCACCAATTAAATAGTATGCAATAAGCTGTGCTCCTGGACAAAGCATGCCATAGATAAATCTTTCTTGAAGACTCTTTAACACATTTGTTCTATGAGTAAAACAATAAATTGATAAAAATAATAATGCCATAGATTTCTAGAACTTCTTTCTTCTAGGAAAACCAGTGCTTCTCCTACTTATCATTTCATTTTTTTAAAGATGCCAGTGTAAGGAAAATATTGGCTAGTGTGTCTCCTCATTTTACAGATGGAAAAACAGGGTCACTGCAAACACCCATTAAAAGGGTAACGAGGCTGGGCACAGTGGCTCATGCCTATAATCCCAGCACTTTGGGAGGCTGAGGCAGGTGGATGGCTTGAGGCCAGGAGTCCAGGACCAGCCTGGGCAACATGGCAAAACCCTGTCTCTATTTGTATTAGTCCACTTTCATGCTGCTGATAAAGACATACCCAAGACTGGGAAGAAAAAGAGGTTTAATTGGACTTAAAGTCCTCAGAATCATGGCAGGAGGTGAAAGGCACTTCTTACATGGTGGCAGCAAGAGAAAATGAGGAAGAAGCAGAAGCAGAAACCCCAGATAAACCCGTCAGATCTTGTAAGACTTACTCACTATCACGAGAATAGCCCAGGAAAGACCAGCCCCCATGATTCGATTACCTCCCTCTGGGTACCTCCCACAACATGTGGGAATTCTGGGAGATACAATTCAAGTTGAGATTTACGTGGGGACACAGCCAAACCATATCATTCTGCCCTTGGCCCTTCCAAATATCATGTCCTCACATTTCAAAACCAATCATGCCTTCCCAAAAGTCCCCCAAAGTCTTAATTCATTTCAGCATTAACCCAAAAGTCCACAGTCCAAAGTCTCATCTGAGACAAGGCAAGTCCCTTCTGCCTATATTCTATAAAGTCAAAAGCAAGCTAGTTACTTCCTAGGTATGCAATTCCAAGTGGGAGAAATTGGCCACAACAAAGGGTTTACAGCGCCCAGGTAGGTCTGAAATCCAGCAAGGCAGTCAAACATTAAAGCTTCAAAATAATCTCCTTTGACTCCAGGTCTCACATCCAGGTCACGCTGATGCAAGAGCTGGGTCCCCATGGTCTTGGGCAGCTCCGCCCCTGCAAACACCCATTAAAATGGTAATGAGGCTGGGCACAGTGGCTCATGCCTGTAATCCCAGCACTTTGGGAGGGTGAGGCAGGCCCTACCTCCACTTTGCAGGGTACAGCCTCCCTCCTGCGTACTTTCACAGTCTGGCATTGAGTCTCTGCAGCTTTTCCAGGCACATGGTGCAAGCTGCTAGTGGATCTACCATTCTGGAATCTGGAGGATGGTGGCCCTCTTCTCACAGCTCCACTAGGCAGTGCCCCAGTAGGGACTCTGTATGGAGGCTCCAACCCCACATTTCCCTTCTGCACTGCCCTAGCAGAGGTTCTCCCTGAGGGCCCCGCCCCTGCAGCAAACTTTTGCCAGGGCATCCAGGCGTTTCCATACATCTTCTGAAATCTAGAAGGAAATCCCAAACCTCAGTTCTAGATACCTGTGCACCCTCAGGCTCAACACCACATAGAAGCTGCCAACGCTTGGGGCTTCCACCCTCTGAAGTCACAGCCCGAGCTATATGTTGGCCCCTTTCAGCCACAGATGGCCCCTGGAGCATCTGGGACACAGGGCACCAAGTCCCTAGGCTGCACACAGCATGGAGACCCTGGGCACCCACGAAACTTCTTTTACCTCCTGGGCCTCCAGGCCTGTGATGGGAGGGGCTGCCGTGAAGGTCTCTGACATGGCCTGGAGACATTTTCCCCAGGGTCTTGAGGATTAACATTAGGATACTTGCTACTTATGCAAATTTCTGCAGCCGACTTGAATTTCTCCCCAGAAAATAGGTTTTTCTTTTCTATCACCTAGTCAGGCTGCAAATTTTCCAAACTTTTATGCTCTGCTTCCCTTATAAAACTGAATGCCTTTAACAGCACCCAAGTCACATCTTGAATGCTTTGCTGCTTAGAAATTTCTTCCACCAAGCTACCAATGACTTTCTTCACGGAATTGGAAAAAACTACTTTAAAGTTCATATGGAACCAAAAAAGAGCCCGCATTGCCAAGGCAATCCTAAGCCAAAAGAACAAAGCTGGAGGCATCATGCTACCTGACTTCAAACTATACTACAAGGCTACAGTAACCAAAACAGCATGGTACTGGTACCAAAACAGAGATATAGACCAATGGAACAGAACAGAGGCCTCAGAAATAATGCCGCATATCTACAACTATCTGATCTTTGACAAACCTGACAAAAACAAGCAATGGGGAAAGGATTCCCTATTTAATAAATGGTGCTGGGAAAACTGGCTAGCCATATGGAGAAAAATGAAACTGGAGCCCTTCCTTACACCTTATACTAAAATTAATTCAAGATGGATTAAAGATTTAAATGTTAGACCTAAAACCATAAAAACCCTAGAAGAAAACCTAGGCAATACCATTCAGGACATAGGCATAGGCAAGGACTTCATGTCTAAAACACCAAAAGCAATGGCAACAAAAGCCAAAATTGACAAATGGGATCTAAATAAACTAAAGAGCTTCTGCACAGCAAAAGAAACTACCATCAGAGTGAACAGGCAACCTACAGAATGGGAGAAAATTTTTGCAATCTACTCATCTGACAAAGGGCTAATATCCAGAATCTACAATGAACTCAAACAAATTTACAAGAAAAAAACAAACAACCCCATCAACAAGTGGGCGAAGGATATAAACAGACACTTCTCAAAAGAAGATATTTATGCAGCCAAAAGACACATGAAACAATGCTCATCATCACTGGCCATCAGAGAAATGCAAATCAAAACCACAATGAGATACCATCTCACACCAGTTAGAAAGGTGATCATTAAAAAGTCAGGAAACAACAGGTGCTGGAGAGGATGTGGAGAAATAGGAACATTTTCTCACTGTTGGTGGGACTGTAAACTAGTTCAACCATTGTGGAAGTCAGTGTGGCGATTCCTCAGGGATCTAGAACTAGAAATACCATTTGACCCAGCCATCCCATTACTGGGTATATACCCAAAGGGTTATAAATCATGCTGCTATAAAGACACACGCACATGTATGTTTATTGCGGCACTATTCACAATAGCAAAGACTTGGAACCAACCCAAATGTCCAACAATGATAGACTGGATTAAGAAAATGTGGCACATATACACCATGGAATACTATGTAGCCATTAAAAATGATGAGTTCATGTCCCTTGTAGGGACATGGATGAAGCTGGAAACCATCATTCTCAGCAAACTATCACAAGGACAAAAAACCAAACACCACATGTTCTCACTCATAGGTGGGAACTGAACAATGAGAACACATGGACACAGGACGGGGAACATCACACACCGGGGCCTGTTGTGGGGTGGGGGGAAGGGGAGGGATAGCATTAGGAGATATACCTAATGTTAAATGACGAGTTAATGGGTGCAGCACACCAACATGGCACATGTATATATATGTAACAAACCTGCATGTTGTGCACATGTACCCTAAAACTTAAAGTATGATAAAAAAAAAAAGAATCTAGAAAAAGAAGTACAAATTCAACCTAAAACAAGCAGGAGATAGGAAGCATTATAAAGATTAAAGCAGAAATCAATAAGAAAAAAAAAAAAAGAAATTTCTTCCACCAAGCCAGGTGGAGTGGCTCACACCTATAATCCCAGCACTTTGGGAGGCCAAGATGGGCAGATCACGGGGTCAGGAGTTCAAGACCAGCCTGGCCAACATAGTGAAACCCCGTCTCTATTAAAAATACAAAAAAATTAGCCAGGCATGGTGATGCACACCTATAGTCCCAGCTACTCGAAAGGCTAAGGCAGGAGAATCACTTGAACCCAGGAGGCAGAGGTTGTGGTGAGCCAAGATCCTGACACTGCACTCCAGCCTAGGCAACAGAGCAAGACTCCGTCTCCAAAAAAAAAAAAGAAAAAGAAAGAAATTTATTCCACCAGATAACCTAAATCATCTCTCTCAAGTTCAAAGTTTCACGAATCTCTAGGGGAGTCTCTAGGGGAGGGGGCAAAATGCCGCCAGTCTCTTCGCTAAAACATAACAAGAGTCACCTTTGCTCCAGTTCTCTACAAGTTCCTCATCTCCATCTGAGACAACCTCAGCCTGGATTTTATTATCCATATCGCTATTAGCATTTGGGCAAAGCCATTCAACAAGTCTCTAGGAAGTTCCAAACTTTCCCACATTTTCCCGTCTGCTTCTGAGCCTTTCAAACTGTTCCAATCTCTGCCTGTTGCCCAGTTCCAAAGTCACTTCCACATTTTCGGGTATCTTTTCAGCAATGCCCCACTCTATTGGTACCAATTACTGTATTAGTCCATTTTCACACAGCTGATAAAGACATACCTGAGACTGGGAAGAAAAAGAGTTTTAATTGGACTTACAGTTCCACGTGGCTGGGGAGGCCTCGGAATCATGGCAGGAAGTGAAAGACACTTCTTATATGGCAGCAGCAAGAGAAAATGAGGAAGAAGCAAAAGCTGAAACCCCTGATAAACCCACCAGATCTTGTGAGACTTATTCACTATCACAAAAATAGCATGGGAAAGACTGGCCTCCATGATTCAATTACCTCCCCATGGGTCTCTCCCACAACACATGGGAATTCTGGGAGATCAATGCAAGTTGAGATTTGGGTGAGGACACAGCCAAACCATATCACTACTAAAAATACAAAAATTAACTGGGTGTGGTGGTGCACACCTGTGGTCCCAGCCACTTGGGAAGCTGGGGTGGGAGGATTGCTTGAGCCTGGGAGGTCGAGGCTGCAGTGAGCCATGATTGCGCCACTGCATTCCAGCCTGGGCAACAGGGCAAGACCCTGTCTCAAAAAAAGGATATTGTGTGCCGACTCTACTAAGCACTTTACATACATTAACTTGCTTAATTCTTCCAACAACCCCATAAAGACAAAAACTATTAGTCCTACTTTACATATGAGGAAACTAAGGCATAGATGTTAGGAATCCTACCCAAGGCCATAGGGCTTGAACTTGAACCCAAACTCTCTGGCTCCAGAGGCTGCACCCAAGCCGTGGGTCACACAGCAACTGCTCCCAGCCTCCTGCTCCCCACCATGGAGTGTCTGAGCTTACAAAGTGTGCAAAGCTTACAAAGTATGCAAGGAACGAACCCTAAGGACTTGTGTAACCCCCAGCCTCCCCGTGAAAACTAGGCCCAGGGCATTTCTGGAAGGAAGTGGCCAGCACACAGGTAGACAGCTGCAGCAGTGGCAGGGGTGTCTGGGTGGGAACCAGGCAGCACTACCATCAGAATAAACCACCCCGATCCCCCTAGGAGGAAACCCACTGTCTTAGAGACCTGCAGCCTCACTCTCCCCTATTTGAATCATGAAACTAATCCTCAGGGCACCATGCTTTAAGCTACACAGGTTGGCATTTACATTTTCCTCCTTGGATTGGATTTATATATTTTATTTACATCATTTATTGGTTGTTGTTGAAGAAGAAGAAGAAGAGGAGGAGGAGGAAGAGAAGGAGGAGAAGGAGGATTAAAGTACAGAAAGGGAAGAAGTCATTTGGGTCCACTGCTCAGGTGGGCTCTGCCCACAAGTCTGCCCAGCGTTGCAAATCGGCCCTTGCAGCTGGACAGAGCTGGCCTGTAGCTGACAGGATTGATGGCTCACACCAGTGTGGGCCCCACAGGGTGTCTCCCTCACCCCACCCCTCTGGGTGGTCCCCTGGAAAGTATCCAAAATGCATAACAAATGAAACCAAGGACGGGGTCCAGTTCAACCCCTTAGTGAGAGGGAAGACTGGAGACAGACAATCCCCCTTGCTGGAGGACACAGGATGACCACCCCACCCTCCCCCTGGAGCCTCTCTTTTGGACGATGAGGAGTATGAGTCTCCCCAAACAGTGACTGCCAAACCGGGACTCTGCTCAGACCAACCTGGCCCAGGCTTATTTCTCATTTTTCCCTTCTGTTCACGGACACCCCCCACCTACTCCCAACCAGCCAAACAGATCTGTGTGCTCTCCTCCATGCAGTCCTTCCCATCTGGCCTTCCTTCCCTCAGAAAGGAAGGGTGTCCCCAAAGGAATCGCTCAAACGCCTCACGTCTTTGTTCACTTCCCTTTGGTGACTAAAGTTCCCCAGCCTCACCCTCCCGAGCCTAACCAGACCCCACTGTCCTTCTGAACTCAGCTCCTCTCTGAAGCATCCTCTGTCATCCCAGCCACAGGAACTGCTGTCTGTCTTCCAAT
Organism: Homo sapiens; assembly: GCF_000001405.40. Classification (NCBI taxonomy): domain Eukaryota; kingdom Metazoa; phylum Chordata; class Mammalia; order Primates; family Hominidae; genus Homo; species Homo sapiens. The sequence continues at coordinate 72,876,806 of NC_000014.9, forward strand.
TTCAAGGACCCCTGGTGGCCTAGGCTGATCGTTTAGCGCAGCTATTCACCACCTGGAACCTCACGTGAAGCAGCTTCTCTCAGGAATGCATGCTCTGCTGCCTGTAAGCTTTGTCCTTTTCCTCCTTCCCTCTCCCCACTCCCATATTCATGAGATTGAGTGGGCCCTCCTTGGGGACAAAGCCAGAATACTCTTTCCTTCCTTTGTGCCCCTTCAGTGCTTTTTGATCAAGGTGCAATTCATGGAGGAAAGGAGAAAGACGTAAATAGTGAATGAAGGAGGGGACAGGGATCAGAAGGAAACCTAGGCTGGAGGTGCAAACTCAGGGCTCTGAGGGCCTTGGGGCAGCTTAGCTCTTAGTCAAGAAATGAAATAAGCAGCAGAAAGCAAAAGAAAAAGGAAAGGCTTTCCAGCGGGCTTTTTCTTCCCAAGGATTTGAAAAGCTACAGTAGAGCCTGGAGGAGAGTGGGCTGTCCAGGGCTGCCGGCTCTGAGTTTTGGAGAGAGGTGGAGATGCTGTGGAGCTTTTATACTATCCAGACCAGTTCCTCTGGGCAGCAAAGGAGGCACACACCCAGGACAATGTTGGGCAATAAAGATTATTCCATCATTTGGGAGCAGGAGCGCCTTTTGTTCTGCATTTCTCAGGGAATCAACACATTCCAAGCAGGAAAGGGATGAGAACAAATGACCAGCAGGATGGGGACTGATAGTATTGGGTCCTCTTCATTCAGCAGATTATAAAATAATAAAACAAGCATCCTACTGCTGCAAGGATAGCAAGAGCTAGCAAGGTCTCAAAAAGGTTTCAGAATTCAGACTCACAAGCCAGGCAGCCTCCATCTCTCCTCTGACACTCGCTGGGATCTTCAGCCCCTGAGATGACAAACAATGTCCCCCTGGTGTGCTCTGGACTGAGGAACTATGAGAACTTCCTAAATCTCATAAAACTATAGATTAGCGTTCATCCCTGCTACCCTGTGCATAAGTGACCTAAAATTGAATGGTCCGAACCTGTTTCCCATCCCCCAGAGACATGTGTAATTAGATAAAATGAGGACAGAATATGTATAAGTATCTGTTATACTCAGATGGCTGCCCAGAAAGAAAATGAGTGCCAGGAACCGGACAGCCCTGTGTCACCCTCTGTCCTGAACTGGGATTGAGGGAGACTTACCTTTGTGAGTAGGTTGCTAGTGCAATATGACCTCTCTGAGTTAACGAATATTTTTCTACAATTCGGCTCCTGCAGCCCATATTTGGCACACCATCAGCATTTTCTCTGGCTTTCCATGTTGAAGGATGTCTTTCAGACCAGGATCTGAACTGAAACTTGACCCTGGGAGTCCGTGTCCACCTTGGGACTTCCTCTTCCTCCTTCAGGCCTCTTTCTGGTGGTACCCTCTTCCAAAAAGCCCCCAACACAGAATTATTTGGAGGACATACAAAAGTTATAATGATACGCTGGTATCTCTATCTCTCTCAATACAAGAGAGAAAGGCCCTCACTTGAGCCCTAGGCCATCCTTTTTGAAGGATGAATGAAGTGATCTGCTATACTTGGTTGGGACACAGAGTCGTAGGGAAAATCATTCTCTCTCTAGGCATTGATACTGTGAAAGTATACAAAAGGCATTCTCTCAAAGAAGATGTATCCAAAAACAGTGACTGGACTAAAGCTCCATGGAACAGACAGCAGATGTTCACCAGAACCCAGCCTTGGGTTTAAACCATTACAGTGCTTTGCATCTTCTGGTCTTCTCTATCTTAAAAACTCAAAAGAAAAAAGAATCCTCCAGTATAAATAAAGCTAAAGGAAATCCCACACACAGCTAAGCATAGAGGAGGCACTGAATAAAAATGAAGTTGATTTATCAGTGGCTATCCATAAGCCAGAGGTTACTTACTCCCCTGAAAGAAAGCAAAGCAAAAAGGTTTGTCTTTATTTCTCAAGACCAAAGGGAGAAAGCCAAGCTTTTTAAAGTGACCAAGAAACAAGAGGCTAGAATGAGCGAGGCTGCCACATGTCATAAATGCACATCCTACATGCAAGCAAGGCCAAACCTGCATCTGTTTCCCAACTCCTGAAACTGAAGGCTCTTTGGGGAGGAATTCTGCCTTTTTCAGATTCCTGCCGTGAAGGCAGAGAATGAGAAACATGTCAACTTTCTAGAGTGCTAAAAGCAAACTTGGGCAGCAGAGCAGGGTATCTGCCTGCAGGCTTCGCTCACTCAACTATTCCCCACACGTTTCCTACGTGCCTGCTAGGCTAGGTCCTTGGGACAGAAAGGCACATGTGGCCAGGCTTGGTGGCTCATGCCTGTAATCCCAGCACTTTGGGAGGCCGAGGCGGGTGGATCACTGGAAGTCAGGAGTTTGAGACCAGCCTGGCCAACATGGTGAAACGCCATCTCTACTAAAAATACAAAATTAGCTGGGTATGGTGGTGTGCACCTATTGTCCCAGCTACTCAGGAGGCCGAGATAGGAGAATCGCTTGAACCCAGGAGGTGGAGGTTGCAGTGAGCCGCACCACTGCACTCCAGCCTGGGTGAGACAGAGAGAGATTCCATCTCCAAAAAAAAAAAAAAAAGAAAAGAAAGGCATATGTGGCTACTGTCCCTGCCTTCCACGCCCTTACTGCTAACTAACTCCTGTCAATTATTTCAGTGACTGAGAGAGAAGAGTATGTTCAGCTCTGCATGGCCCAGGGCAGGTGTGGCCAGTTCTACCTGAGGGTCAGCAAGGGCTCCACCAGGGAGAGGGACCACTTAAACCATCCAGAAGATGACAGATGTGCATCAAGTGCGCCCAGGGACAGGGTGGAGGTGGAGGACAATCAAACCGCCTGCCCAGAGGAAACCGCCTGCCCAGAGGAGCCACAAGCAGTTTGCTCAGACACCAGGGGAATGTGTGACAAGAGTCGTCTCTCTGGGCAGGGACACAGAGCATCCCCTCAGACTAACAAGTTCACACACGTCTCTCACACTGAGGTTCTTACCCTAGAGCCCATGGGCCTCCAGGGCATCCAGAGATGGGCTCTTCCAGGTCTGTGAACCCCATAAAACCATAGGCAGATGTTCACATCTATATGCGTGTTTTCCGGGGAGATGATCCACAACTTTCATAGGATTCTTGAAAGGGCCTGTGATTGCCAAAGAAAGGTGAAAAAGAAACACCCATCAAGACTGAGTAGCCTGCACACTAGACTGTGGTATAGAATCCAGTTTCTCCCTGTCTGTCTCCTGCATATGGCTCAGTAACAGACATAGTAAGTTTTCAGAACTAGCAGAACTAAAGGGATGAGAAGAGCATTCCAGTATAAGCAGATGGAAAGAAATTACCATTGGCATCACCAAAACAAATACCTGTGTGTACTGACTGTGTGCCAGGCTCTGGGCTAGACTTTAAAAACCAGTATCTCTTTCCATAAAGCCACATGGAAGAGTGTCTTCTCAGCCTCCTGTTCCTGGAGCCAATATTGCATATTGGAGTCCCTAAATGTGGATTCAAGTCACCCAGAGCAATTCACTGCAATCGCCAGATCAGGCTCAAACTTTAGTTGGCAGTTGCCTAGCAACGAGTAACCCTGAAGACACATCACCAAACCCAGATGCCAAAAAGGGCATTTTGTGGACAAGCTAGTTCTGAAACCAGCCCCTCATAAGTCTATTTGTCAGGCCTCCCTGGGGCTGTTGGGGTAAGGAGTAGACTTTGCAGCCAAAGGTAGGCTGAGAGGAGAAAGATAGAAAGGCATTGTTTTTTGTTTTTTCAGACACGGTCTCACTCTGTTGCCCAGGCTGGAGTGCAGTGACACAAACACGGCTCACTGCAGCCTCAACCTCTTGGGCTCGGGTGATCCTCCCACCTTAGCCTCCCAAATAACTGTGACTAAAGGCGCGTGCCACCACACCCAACTAGTTTTTCTATGGGATTTTGCCCTGTTGCCCAGGCTGGCTCGAACTCCTGGGCTCAAGCGACCTGCCCACCTAGGCCTCCAAAAGTGCTGGGATTACAAGTATGAGCCATTGCACCCAGCTGGAAAGTGTTCTGCTGGTTGTATGTTTTCCCACCTCTAGGGAATAGGCATGAGAAGGGGAACTGAGGGTTAAAGGAGAAGGCAGCCTCCAGTGGAGAAGGCAGCCTCCAGTAGAGAAGGCAATTGGTGCCTCTTCACTTCCTCTTTCAGATTGTACCTATGGTTACTCTTCCAAGAAGTTGCTTAACAGATGCCACCCACACCTAAAGACGCATAAAGCAGCAGGAAGACTTGACTGAACGTACATCCAGTCCTTCCCTAAAGCCATCATCCTCCTGCAGCTCCAAAAACCCCACTGAACTATGGAAGGCTGGGGTGAGCAGGATGATAGACCTCAAACTACTTCTAACAGTGAAACTGGGGAAGCAGTTTTTAACCAACTCTCCAAGGCAACTCACTCCCTTACAGAGGCATGAAAGAGGCAAAGAGATCTCATTCTCTAAAATTCAGAGCTGTTGTTGTTGTTGTTGTTGTTGTTGTTGTTGTTGTTGTTGCTGTTGTTGTTGTTTTTAACACAAAGCTCAGAAACTCCTTAAGCTAAGAGGCAGGTGAGACTGGGTTTCCCAAGACAAAGTTTCCAGTCCAAACCATCACATAAGGCCAACACTGGGTATTCTCCCTGTGTCGATAGTGGGAAGCCTGGGAAGACGGCCTTCTTCGGAATCCACCGTCCCTTCCCTTGAAAGGTCTTGGGGGTAGGAGGAAAAGGGGCAAATAAATATATCAGTCTGGAGGTGATTCAGGAAGAACAAATGCGGATGTCAAACAACAAATAAGGCAGATATAAATCCAAATAAAATATTAAAATCATTAAAGGGCTGCTGCTCCCTGAAGATTGGGAAAAATGAAGAGAGTTAATTAAAAGCAATCTCCATGCACTGCTGAGCCGGCCAGCCCTGATAAATCAACAGCTGGGGCTGCTGTGGAGGGCAGGCAAGGGGCTTCAGGAGGGGGTGGGCCAGCTGGGGGAAGGGGGTCTGCCACTGAGATGGCTGTGATGGCAAATTGAACACAGTGACTTAAGTTTCATGTTTTATTAAATATTTTATGACCACTGAATAAAGTTATTCTTTGGAGAGGGAGAAAATGATGAGCTGGGTAAGTGAAGGGGGGGAAGATAAGGATGAAGAGGTATTGTCTGATTCAAAACATACTTAGGACTGTGACGTTGGAACCTCTGATATCGCCCCCAAAGGCCGAAGCTTTGGGTTTTTTTTCTTTCTACTTGATCTGCAAAGGTAGCTGTGTCTTCGTCTTCTAAAATCTCTCTACAAAACTTGGGTTATGTTTATCTGAGGGACCAGGGAAGGCAGTGCAGAGTCAGGGAAAGTAATGAAGAGGAAGAAAAGACAGAAAAGATCCTCAAAATTGTCATTGCTGATCAAAGCCAGACTTTTAACACAAAACTAAAAGGTCAGCAGAAATGGTGGGAACTCTTTTTTCTTTCTTTACTTCTTTCCTTCTCCCTTTTTTCTGCAGCTAGTTTTTGTGTGTAAAATGAAAAAGAGCTCCAAATTTTGGGGCTCAATCTAAGTCAAAAGCCAGCTATTTCAGAAGTGTTAGAAGAACAGGCCCTTCTCTATTCTAAGGGGAAACCCTCCAGTTCTTCCTTGATGAAAATATAATCAAGAGAAATGATTGGGGGAAAGTGTTTTTTTCTCCTCCATAGAACTGGGATTGGAAGGGGAGTGTGTGCATGGGGAAACATAAGGAATTATGCATTTGGATATGCATTTTAATTAGGTGGACAGAAGCAGCCGCCTGTTAATTTTTCTTGCTTGTTTCCACTTAGCATTCATCACAGGCAGAACTACCATAGAGCGCTCCCACGATAATAGATGGTTCTGCATTGGCTAAGTCCTCAGGGAAAATAATTAGCAGGAGAGAATATATTCTCTCCCCTCCCACTGCCCCATCCACCCTGCCCTCCCCCTATCACCAGCACCGCGTTGCCGCCCCTCTCCCCACTCCCCTCACCTATAGTGGTTTTCCTAGGAAAAGCCGAGGGCAGCAGTCAGCCTCCTGGTTTGCTAGCACTTACTTTGCCCTGCCAAAAAACAAGGGTCTAGGAGAAGAAACAGACAGATCAGAAGTCTCTATTGGAGTGGAAGCTCCTCGATGTAGGGAGGGAGTCAGGTGGCTGTGCTGATTAGTTCTCAGGGGCAGGCAGGCAATCCATGTTGGTTGTGGGATGAAGGAACTCCAAAGAGGATGAGAGAGTTCTCGTTGTGCTCAACTGGCAGCCAAAGATGTATCGAGAGTTGCTGGTTGAGGACAGCAGGAGTAGGGATGATGTTTTTTGCTTCATTTGCTCTTGTAAAGGAAAGTTGCAGGGCCAAGTAAGTGCAGTGGTTTTCACCTGCAATCCCAGCATTTTGGGAAGCTGAGGTAAGAGGATCACTTGAGGCCAGAAGTTCAAGACCAGCCTGGGCAGCACAGTGAGACCCCCATCTCTATAAAAAAATTAAAAATTAAGTGTGGCAGTACGCACCTGTAGTCCCAGCTACTTGGGAAGCTGAGGTGGGAGATCACTTGAGTCAAGGAGTTTGAGGCCACAGTGAGCTGTGATGGCACCACTGCACTCCAGCCTGGGTGACAGAGTGATCGCACTACTGCACTCCAGCCTGGGTGAGAGTGAGACCCTATCTCCAAAAAATATATGAGAAAAGAAAATAAAGAAAGTTGTAGCTTTGCAGCAAGACTGAATCTGAACCACTTCCAAGGCTGGCAACCAAGACATGCATGTAACTCTGAGATCTGACCCCACCGCAATGCTCTCTGGTCTACTTTTCTATAAAGAATCTGGCCTGGCATGGTGGCTTACGCCTGTAATCCCAGCACGTGGGGAGGCCCAGGTGGGCAGATCACTTGAGGTCAGGAGATCGAGACCAGCCTGGCCAACATGATAAAACCCGATCTCTACTGAAAATACAAAAATTAGCTGGGTGTGGTGGCATGTGCCTTTAATATCAGCTACTCCTGTGTCTGAAGTACAAGATCACTTGAACGTGGGAGGCAGAGGTTGCAGTGAGCCAAGATCACGCCACTGCACTCCAGCCTAGGCGACAGAGTGAGACTCTGTCTCAAAAAAAAAAAAAAAAGAAAAAGAAAAAGAATCCATTCTTGCCACTGACCTCCAATGCCAACAGCTCACTCTCCTTATTCACAAGCAGATCTAAGCCCCTGCCCCGCCTCCACTTCTTCTCTCTCCCTCAGTCATCTCAGTTGAAGGAGGAGCCAGAGACCAGGCAAGGACCAAAGGCCCAAGTTCCCAGAAGAGCACCCCACTCTACCAACCGCGCTTCTGCTTCCTCTGGTTTGGTGGGTGAACTCAGGTCAGGGCTATGACCGGAAATGAAATGAGGGTTTCCCCTGAGCTCACATTCTCACTTATTTCAAACCCAGACAATAGGAAAATCCCACTGAGATCCCAGGGCTATTTACACAGCCTGGATGAGTAGACCTTGCATTTCCTGAGAAACAATGATTAGATGTGATGGGTAATGCCAGAAACATTTATTTTTGTTTTAATATTTAAAATAATGTTTAATATAGTAGGTATTATTGACTGCCTGAGGAGGCCATGATCAGCTACAGGAAACTTTTAGTTCTCATAGTAACACCTCACATTTGCACTTTCCACCTTCTGAAATGTTTCCACATCCATTATTTCATGTGGGCCGCTGCGGGGAAGCCAGGCTGGAGGAAGGGGAAGGGAGGAGAAGGGAGACACAAGCTCTCCTGGCTGTTTGGAAGGACAGGCCTGACTTGCTAACTCCTGCCCCCCAAGCTATCCTGTCATCACCGTGCTTCCACCCACCTCCTGTTGTCAGACATCACATCTCCATCCACCTAGGAAGCCTTCACTCCAAGCCTCACCAGGTAACTGCTAGTGCTACAGCCCCTGGAACTGCCTCAAACCCAAACCCTGACCCCCACGAGGAGTCCCTGCCCTCAAAGGAAGGGGGATATAGGCTGGGCACGGTGGCTCACGCCTGTAATCCCAGCACTTTGGGAGGCCGAGGCGGGCGGATCACGAGGTCAGGAGATCGAGACCGTCCTGGCTAACACGGTGAAACCCCGTCTCTACTAAAAATACTATATATATATATATATATATATATATATATTAGCCGGGCGTAAGGCGGGCGCCTGCAGTCCCAGCTACTCGGGAGGCTGAGCCCGGGGAATGGGGAATGGCGTGAACCCGGGAGGTGGAGCTTGCAGTGAGCCGAGATCGCGACACTGCACTCCAGCCTGGGCGACAGAGCGAGACTCCGTCTCAAAAAAAAAAAACAGGAAGGGGGATATGAGGGGAAGGCAATCCCTGTGGCTGGGGATGGGAGAATTGAGTCTCTGGGTTCCTAGTTCCCAGTGTGTTTATCCCAGAACGCAATGGACTACCAATAGAGGGAGAGGCAGAGAGGTTGAATTCTGTAATACTATTAGGTTTGGGTTTTTTTGTTTGTTTAGTTTATAAGGTGGAGAATGCCTATATTATCTAGAAATGTAGCCGCTAATTTTTTGGGTTTGTTTGTTTGTTTGTTTGTTTGTTTGTTTGTTTGTTTTTTGAGATAAGGTCTTGCTCTGTCACCCAGGCTGGAGTACATGGAGTACAGTAGCGTGATCACAGCTCACTGCAGCCTCAACCTCCCGGGCTCAAGCCATCTTCCTGCCTTAGCCTCCCGAGTAGCTAGGACCACAGGTGTACACCACCACACCCGGCTTTTTTTTTTATTTTTTGTAGCGACAGGGTCTCATGATATGTCCAGGCTGGTCTTGAATGCCTGAGCTCAAGGGATCCTCCTGCCTCAGCCTCCCAAAGTGCTAAGATTACAGGCATGAGCCTAGCTTAGTCCCTAGATTTTACAGTCCAAAAATGAAGGAGACCTAGGCATAGTGAAAACCCAAAAGAAATGAAAATGGGGACTCAAAAACAGCCAAAAGGTGAAACAACCCAAATGCCCATCGGCAGTTAAACAGGTAAACAAAAAGTGGGCTATCCATACAATGGCCATAGAAAGGAATCAAGTTCTGACTATGCTACAACATGGATGAACAAACATTGAAGACATTATGCTAAGTGAAATAAGCCAGACACAGAAGAACAAATATTGTATGTTTCCCCTGATATGGGGTGCTAAGAATGCAGAATGGTGGTTCCCAGGGATGGTAGGAAGCAGGGGATGGAAAAGTATTGTTTAATGCATACAAAGTTTCTCTCCGGGATGATGAAAAGGGTCTGGGCAGCTGGGCACGGTGGCTCATGCCTATAATCCCAGCACTTTGGGAAGCTGAGGCGGGTGGATCATCTGAGGTCAGGAGTTCGAGACGAGCCTGGCCAACATGGTGAAATGCTGTCTCTACTAAAAATACAAAAATTAGCCAGGTGTAATGGCGCATGCCTACAGTCCCAGCTACTCGGGAGACTGAGACAAGAGAATCACTTGAACCTGGGAGGCGGAGGTTGCAGTGAGCCAAGATCGCGTCACTGCACTCCAGCCTGGGTGACAGAGCGAGACTCCATCTAAAAAAAGAAAGAAAGAAAAGGGTCTGGAAACTGATGGTGGTGATGGTTGCACAAGGTGGGAGGATCCCTTGGGGCCATGATTTCAAGACCAGTCTGAGCAACATAGCAAGACCTCCATCTCTACTAAAGATTAGAAATAAATGTACTTAATGCCACTGAAATGCACACTTTAAAATGGCTAAAATGGTACACTGTGTGTTATGTATATTTTAGCACAATAAAGAAAAATTGAGGGAATGCCTCTCTCTGCTGGAGGTCAGGGTGACCATTTTGTTTTCTCTTTAAAGTCTCAGAATTTACACACCAGCTCCTGTGTAGACTCTGATGAGTTCTGCAACCTCCTCCCCCTTCTCTTTATGCTTGCAAAAAAACTGCCATGGAAGCTTTCCACCAAAGAAAAGCCTGATAATAATGTCCCCACTGAAATCTGAGATGTTCTGGAGACATGTCACTGAAGGGGAGGCATGAAGTCCAGTCTAGTCTTGGCTAATACCCACTCAGGTAGGGGCTAGTTCCACACAACTGCTGGGCACCTCCATTTCCTCAGCAGTAACACAGGTATGCTAGAGGAAGCTCAGTGAGACATCAGTACAGGTCCACTTACTTCAGCTCACTAAACATCCAGGTATCTGTGGCTGCCCAAATTAAAATAAAATAAGCACTTTATTTTCAGATTAATTGGGATAGGTGCCATGGTAGAGGAGAAGGCCAGAGAGATCATGGACAAATAAAGTCCAGACCGGAGGACTGGCTGGAAAATTGGTTACCCTTCTGCCTCCAAACACACACACACACACACACACACACACACACACACACACACACAAAAGGAAGCAAAATACAGATGTTCTCAGTGATTCCAGTCTTTTAACCACCAAAAACTGAGTGCTTATCCACGTCAAAATAGGCCAATTGGTCTTCAAGTTCCTCATTCTCATCAGCTTCTGGATGGGATGCTAGTGAGAAGAAAATCACTGAAAAGGAAGAGCCAGAGGAAAAGCCCACATTCTAAATGGCCCACCACCTGGTCCTCAGCCTCAGACCTTGAGAAGGGATAGGAAGTTCCACCCAGCTTAGAACCCCAAGAAGGGAGCACCATGTAGCAAGACTGAATCAGAGAATAAGAAACTGTGGAAGTCTCCAGTCTTAAATGTTCTCTTTAGAGCCACACTTTAAAAATAAGAAAAAATCAGAACTCTGGCCCCTAGCTGTCCTCTCTGTCCTAATCCACCATAATAAGAGCCAGAAAGTTGTTGGCTTGAAAGGAATTTGGGGAATCAAAGTACATCACCATCATAAAGACAAGGAATATGCGGCTCAAAGTTCTGTGTCCCAGATCACAAGCTAGTTGCCTGTAGCTCTGGAAGCGGAGCTCAAGGCTTGGGATTCCTCTCCCAGAGCTTTTTCTCCTCCATTACTCTGAAGTCACTAAGGCTACAAAAAATCAGCCACTGGTGAGAAATGAACATGGAAGAGGAAAAGAGGTTGAGACGGGTTTCATCAATAGCAGGTGAAAGTGTGAGGATGGGAAAAACTTTCTGGTGGAGCTTCCAAGTGCAGATCATTCAAACAGCAGATTTTCAAGGTGAATAACAACAACTAAAAAAAAACCTTTTATCAGCAACCTGAGATGATCACAGTCCCCAGATTCAGAGAGGGAGGAGAGGGTGCAAAGTGGGGATTAGACATGTGCCAGCATTGTTCCGCAGGCTCAGAACTGAGGCCTGGCTGGTGAGGACTCAATGCGGGCTATTTGAACCCCATTATTAGGAGCTCTGAACCTAATCCTCTCACCCCTCCCTGCTTCCACACATTGCCCCTAAATTGTAACCTCTTCAGGGATTCTCTCCCTTCCCTTGCCACTGCCTGCCACACTAATATTCACAAACACACAGCCTAGAAATTCTCCAGTCTGCTCCTCTTCCCTCTGCCCCACCAACACCTCCTAACCACTGCTTTTAAAACTCTAATGCAAATCACAGGCTTCAAAAACCTTCCCTCAGTGACAGTTTTACGATGCTAGCTCCATTCATCCATATGGTTTGACAGACTGTGAAACACCAGTAACCGGACCAATAAGAAAAACAAATTACAAAAACACTACAACACCTCATCTCTCCCCAGTCACTCAAACAACTAGAAAACTTTGGAATTTGCAATGGATCACAATATCAGTCTCTCTTGCAGTTCAACAACAATCTTTGCAGAGTTCCATACCACACAGTGGTTTTACCCACTCCTCCATCCTCCCCCTACCCAAGGCCACTCTCCATCTTTCCTTGTTAACTACCTTCATATTTAAAGACTATTTAAAATTAGGGCCATGCTTACAAATTCCCCTGTTGGGTCGTAGCTGGGCAAAAAATATTTCAGTGGTTGTGGGATTTTTTTGGCCAGAGGTTTGCAACATTTGGCTACATTTCTGTTTTCTAGTGACTTTCAAAACACTCAAAAACCACAAAAGTTACTTTGCAGAGGTTGGGATAATAAACAGGCCTGGATTCTGGTGCCTCTTTATGACCCAGCCCCCATCGCCACTACTGTCAGCATAGCTGCCTTAGAAAACTGAAACATCAGCCTCAGTTTCCATTCTTTTTCTGGTGCATGATCAAAACAAAACATGCTGACCATGACATTTTATTTTTTGCATTGATCTGAACAGATGGCTCTGAAACAGCTTTAGACATTATGGTCTTTCTCAGATGTATCCAAATTCCAGCTACCTGCATGATTCCAAAAAGAGGAGGATGAGAGGTCTCCAACTCAGCTGTCTCTGAATTCAAGCCCACCTTATGTGACTAAGCAGCTCCCATTCAACTGGCAGTCTTCAATGTCTCCCGGGAGGCCTGCAGACCAGGCTATTTTCAGAGGTTTACCCTGTGACAATGCCTCCACTTGGGTTCTCGCAGACATTAATCTCCATCATAGGTGTCTCATCAAAAGCAGACATTTACCCATTGAAAAATAATGTGTGCTAATGAGGTTTGGAGAATTTAGGGCTTTTTTATAGTGGCAACCAGAAGCAGATGGAGAACAGGTTCTTGGGAATCTGTTGGCTTACAACGTCCGAGGGTCCTTTTTCATAAGAAGCTAAAACAATGTCCATAAAAGGCAGCAAGTTCACAAAGTCCCGGCCTCAATGCTGTCTACTTAGTACCTACCCACATCCCCCCAACCTCGACAGAAAGAGCTAAGAGGAGATTAGAACCAGGAATGTGACCCCCACCCCTTCCCCTCTGATATCTAAACTGAGTGCCACAGCAAGAGTGAGGTCTGGCTTCTAACTTTCACATGCACAAAACCACTTTAGATTAGAATACACTAATACAGGTCATAGAATGCACAAAGAGATCTAGATTTGACGTTCATCTACACACATGACCTGCTGTTTGACTTGGCTAAGTAAGTTTATTTTCTTCTCCCAGAGTAGTGTTCTTAACAACAAAACAGGGACATAAACACATACCTCCAAGCAAGGTTAACTCCTTACAAAAGAAAGTTTCAATACAATCACGTATATGTGTGTGTTCACAGTTATAAGCATGACAAAATAGTTTATGGGTCTCTTTATAAATAATTACTTAAGGTAAAGCCCTGTTGGTTCATATGGAATTTAATAATAATAATTTTTTTCTAAGTAGGCAATTATAATAATAGACATATATGTGTATAATCAAGTCTGGCAGAAGGTGGCAGACATTCTCAGTTAAATGCATACCAACCAGGATTTTGATAATACAAGAGTAAGTTGTTTAAAGTACTGATTGCAGATTTGGGGGAAGGTGGTTTATCTGAACTAGAATATTAAGATTCAAATTTATATTAAAAGCATTATGTGGCCAGACATCGTGGCTCACTCCTATAATCCCAGCACTTTGGGAGGCCAAGGCAGGCAGATCACTTGAGGCCACGAGTTTGAGACCAGCTGGCCAAGATGGAGAAACCCCGTCTCCACTAAAAAACACAAAAATTAGCCAGGTGTAGTGGTGCGCGCCTGTAATCCCAGCTACTCTGGAGGCTAAGGCACAAGAATCACTTGAACCCAGGAGGCAGAGGTTGCAGTGAGCCAAGATCCTGCTGCTGCACTCCAGCCTGGGCAACAGAGCAACACCCTGTCTCAAAAAATAATGATAATAATAATAATAATAATAGCATTATGTTTCCCAGGTATGCACAAATCAACCAGAACGTGACTAATCTACATGCAGGCCTTTATCAAATCCATATTTATGTTACCTGCATGTGTTTACTTCACTACCTGGGCCTTATCTCGCTTGTATATGTAAGAAATGAGGGTAACTCTCATACATCTTTGCTCAGACAATGTAGCTGCTAAATTAAATAATATGTAATACACATTTACACATCATACATGTCCACCAGTGCTTTTGAATTCTATTTGTCCAGATGTGACTGCTTGGTTGTGGGGGCCACCTGCCGTGTCCCCTTTGTGATCTGATCAGTGCAGGCGGCTCCTATTTCTGCCTCTAACACCCTGTTGGGCAGTAATAAGATGTTAAAGGCGACAACAGAGAGAGAAGCTGGGCTGTCAGCTTCAGAGAGGAAGGGGGTGAAGGGTACAACAAGGAAGAAAAAGAAAGGGAGTTGAGGGGAGATCAAAGACAGGCAGGAAGAAAGCCAAATTGCTAAGAGAGGAGATGTGGCTTCAGGAGCTTGGGACCCTAAGGAAAACCCCAAAGCAATGAGATTCAAAATTGTGCCATCCCATCACCCCAGCTAATTGAATTATTGAATGTCCCACGTGGAAAAAGCTAGTACAGTGAAAAATAGCCCATACTCAGCGTAGGCAGAGCCCTGCATAGGTGCTGCTGGAAATCTGAGCTTGTTTCTTCCCAACACATTAACTACCACCACTTTATCCCCCCATCCTGAGGAAACCTTTGTGTGACCATTTTCTGTAGGAGACGTCCGTGGTGTTGGCTTTTTTTTTTTTGGAGGGAAGAGAGAGACTCAGAACGCACACAGAGAAAATGCTAATGTCGTTCAGCTCTGTTTCATTGTCAGGAGGGACACATGAGGATAAAAACATAGCTCTCCAAACCATTCTCCCCGCTACCCCTCCTCCCTGCACCACCACCATCCCTTCGGCTGGATGTGTCTCTGCACTTTGTTCTAATTTATCCCATGCATAATTTATTCACGTGTGTATTGTTTCCTGATCAGCAACTTTTAAAAACAAATGAAATATATAAGATGTTTTATTAAACAAGTTATTTTTAAAAAAATAAAGGCAGATGGTGTCCCTCTCCCAATAACAACGTGTGTGCTCCTGCGTTAGGAGTTGTCAAAAACTGTCCAGGGTGTGAGAGGCTGGGCTGGTCAGTGGTATTGTTTATACCCCTTTACTCACAGGGAAAGGGTCTGGGAAGCAGAAAGGAATAGCTAATTATAAATGACCAAGCAACTCCCACCTAGAAAAAGCAAGCAGGGGCGTTGTGTGTATGCTAGTGTCTGCATGTGGGTGGCAACACAATTACAAATACATCACGTTGCAACTGTTTCTAATTATACAAAGTACAATTCAGAACTAATTCCACTAACCGGCCAGAATTCCGCCACCTTCTTTCCCGCGTCTGTCCCTTCCCCCACCCTTAACCCCACCCTACACAGACTCCCTCCCCAAACACGCACCCTACTGTGATCC
The DNA here is from genome assembly GCF_000001405.40 of Homo sapiens. NCBI lineage: Eukaryota > Metazoa > Chordata > Mammalia > Primates > Hominidae > Homo > Homo sapiens. Next base: position 72,892,037 of record NC_000014.9, read on the forward strand.
AAAAAACCCTGGAGCGAGTAGGGGAACACAAGCTTAGAGATACTGCGCCCGCCCGCGCGAAAGCGGGCTCCCGGGTAACTAGGGTACGGCTTTCCCAGGAGGAAACAAACCTGGTGCACATGTGAAATAGGTTCTCTAACTTGAGTTTACCAGGTGGCATCAGCCCGGTTATGTGATTTCGGCTGGAAATGGGGAAACTGAAAATCAGTTGTGGGTTCGGTAGAAACAGCATCAGCGGTGTTGCAGCGAAAGCAACCGGCAGCGAGGATGCGGCGAAGTTACGCCCATTTATTCTGCCATAAAACATTTTCTTTCTTGGGTGAAACGCTGTGGCGTTCAAGCGCAGTGTATCCGAGCTTCCGAGCCAGAACTGAAGCCAGGAGCTCCTATCTGATCAGCCTCAGCTTCCAACGTCCTCTTAACGGCAGCTTTCATATAAATATATTTGAAACCTGGGGCCTTCCTACCCCTTTCCCTATTTCTGATGGGCGACGAGCTGGCGCAAACACGTCCGATTCTCCCTGTGCATTCCTTTGCGTTAGGAACCCCCTACCGTCCCCGGGAGCGAACCTGGTTTTCAACTCCAGGAGTGGCCAGGGGTGAAGACGAGAATGCGCTGAATTAAAAGAACCAGGGTCGACAGCGGCCACGCACCAGGGAGAATTCGGCATGAACCGCCCCCCACCCGACCTGCACCTCCCTCTGCCACTTCGCCTGCGGCTTCGTCCGGGCGGGGAAGTCCCGGTCGAAGGGGTGAGGACCCCCCAGCCCACCTCGGATACGGAGGGAGCCACCCTCTGCCGACATCACCCAATAGCACCCCTTTCAGAGCGACACTAGTTTTCCGAGGCCACCCCTGGCTCCGCGATCGCGAGCGGACTTGGCGGCTTAACAGTTCCACTGACTGGAAGGAAGGAAGGAAGGAAGGAAGGAAGGAAGGAAGGAAGGAAGGAAGGAAGGAAGGAAGGAAGGAAGGAAGGAAGGAAGGATGAAAAGGAGGAGGAAGGCAGGCAGGCAGAAATTGGCTGTTGGACCCGGGGCTGGCCCCCGCGAGTCCTCGCCCGGCCCGCCCCACTCTGTCCAGGATCTGGGCAAGCGCTCAAAGTCTCCCCGAGGCGGCCAGAGGCACCTGCCCCTCGCCCGGCCGGGAGCAGACGCTGCCCCCTCGGGCCAGGAGCCCCAAAACCGCCTCTCCGCCTGCCTCAGCGCCTCACCCAGAGGTGGCGAGAACACCATTCATAAGACCTGCGGCTTCCCTGCCTCCAAATCCACCCCAAGTTAACCCGAGTCGTTAATCCACTAAAGCCAGCTCGCTCGCAAATACACGAGCAGACACACGCTCGATCGCCCGGAGCGCCTCCGAGATCCGGGGGCTGCCGGGGAAAGCCCGGGGCGACCACCTGGGCCCCAGCACGCCCGGGACCCGCTGCTTCCCCCGCGGTGCTCCAACTCCGGAAGGTTTGCACAAACTCCCCGCGAGCGATCGGAAGGCGAAGAGCGCCCTGCAAACTCCGGAGCCTCCGCGGTCCGTCCGCTGGACCCAGCGGACCCAGCGGCGGGGCGGGGGCCGCGGGCTCGGGGGCGCGGGGCTCGGCCAAGTACACCGAGGCGGCCACTGCCCGACGCTCGCCCCCCGCCCAGCAGCCCCCGAAGCCGCGCTCCCTGCCCGCGAGGCGGGGGACTCCGGGGACCGCGCCGTCCCCGAGCTCCCGCGACCCTCCTGCTGTAGAGCGCTCGAGCGCCGGGCTTCTCCGCCTGCAACCCCTATATCTGGCTCTCTCTGCAATTTAGCAGAACACAAATGTAACAATTTTCTTCTTGTTAATTGCATCTCCTGACATTTCTGCGCGTTGGGGGAAAAAAAGAAGATGAAGAAGTAAGAGCTGAAAGAAGAGAGAAGCCCCGCCGCGGCTGGAGGCGCCTGCAAGCGCAATGCTCTGGCAGCGCTCGCCACGCAGAAGGCGCCTTTTTTTTCATATTGAAACCACGCGGAATATGTACATTTTTTAGTCTTACTTACGCTTTCAGGGGGTTGTGAATGACAGTCGCCATTTTGCTACAATGTAACAGAATATTGTCTCAGAGTTCTAAAGGTTCGCTCAGGGGAAGCGACGGGCCAATCACAGCGCGGGATACCGGCCCGCCGGCCAATCGGCGCTGCTGGTAGCTAGGTGGGCGGGGCCTGCGCCGTGGTAGTTATTAGGAGAGCTGTCAAAGCCCAGAGGTCACTCCCTTTTGTAGAGCCCGAGAGCCAGCAGGTCTTAAAGGGGCAGTACAGCGCTGGTAGCTCCTTTTCGGGCTGGGGAAAGTGGAGACGCACGGGAGAGTATTATAGTTTGGTTTAACTCCCTACTTTTCTAAATAACTGCAGAAGAGTTTGCGCTCCCGGACAGAAATATTTAAATATTGCCAGCAAGCCACTGAATCCTATTCATTAGCCTTTGGCTTTGCGTATCAACATTTTTAATCCCCCAAAGGGTAAATCCCCGTGTTTCAGTGCAAAAGTTGGAAGGCTGCCGTTTCGTGTTAACAAATTACTACATGTGCTCTGCCGTTTGCTAATGCTCTGGGTCCTGCCGCTTTTTAATATTCTTATTCCCGAAGTGTTCTCTTTATCTCGGCCACCTTCCTCTCTCGCTTCTTGGAACTGTCGCTGCTGTTCCTGGCGACTCCAGGACAGCAACTCACCCTCCCCCTGGAACGTCTCAATGTCAGGCTCGCTCCCTCCTGCAGCCAGGGCTTTCCTTACGTAGTGCAGGGGGGTTACTCTGCGCGGTTCCCCGCTACCACCCCTTCGGTTCTTCCCTCTACACCAGAAACTTCCAAAATGCTCAGATTCCTGCTAGGTGGTGGGACCTGGAGCTCTGATCTTTAGGCTTAGGGGTAGGGAGGACTTAAGGCAACCTTTGGAAACTTTCTACTGCTAGGAAGCAAGTGACTAGGCAGAAGTTGTAGAGCCTGGACTGGGTGTTATCAGGGTCCCTTTAGAGGAGTGGCACACGCGATTCTGGCGTCACCTTTCACTACTTAGATAGAAGGTGGAAAGAATTTGCTAATGAATAATCCGATGTGACCCGAGGCGTCCAATGAGTCTGTGTCTGCTTCAAGTCAGTGTGAACTCTTCACTGGCGAGCCCCTGACAAAATTGGGAGACTTCTGCGAAGTCAGGCTTCCACTGGGCACCGGGAAGCTCTGGGGGGATGAAATCGCATTAAATCGCGAATAGGGTAGGGGCCTCGTTAGCATACAGAAGTCTGGCTACCATTCCAAAGCTGTTTAATCAGATCAAATAGCTAAGATAGTGGGGGAGGGGTGGCAAGGGGAGAGAAGTTGCCAAATTGCCAGTTCTTCAAAGCTATGCCCTCTCGCTTCCTTTTGCTCCTCTCAAGACAATGAATAAAATAAAATAAACATTCCAGAATTTTAAGAGTTCAACTACATACACTATTAGATTTACAGATAAACAGAACGTGGCTGAATCACTATGTTTTTAAAAGATTTGAAATCTTTAACTCCTCTCTGCGTATTTAAGAAGCAGAATTGAGTTCTATAGATTCCTTTGTAAATCCTTTGCATAGCATCTTGGCAGAGATTACAGTTTGAAAAAGTTATCTCCTTTTCCAAAATTGAAGTTTGAAAAATCCCTTCTTTACTAATTTGACAAGAAATTGGTTCAGAAGCCTATACTTTGCCTGAGGTGGGCCTTGACATCATTGAAAAGCAAGAACTGTATTCTGACCCAAGAAGTATGAGTTTGAATTATCAGTTAGAACTCCCAATAACCTCTTTGAGGTATCAAAGACACAACAATTCAGATTAGTAGACGACAACGTATTTTCTTACATGCAGCCTGATAAAGGAGGAAATGTAGAGCATGTCCTGAACAAGATTTACAATGGGGGAAGAGAGAAAAAACAAATGTATATTACATATTAAAGAAAACACATACTCTAAGCATGTACATATCATTTATTGTGTTAAGGCCTGGATGCAGAAACCAGCATAATCTCTAACTACCTAACGAACTTGAAAATGTCAGATCAGATTTATTGATTGGATTGGAAAATAGTGAATTAAAGACAGTACTTTAAAAAAAAAAAAAGGATAGCCTTGCTTTTTGTAACCCAATGGAATGTCATTTTAACTCTATCAATACAGTTATGACTTTTAAAGAAACACTTATATTTAACAAAAGAGTTATTTTACTTTAATGTTTACATTATAGATCAAAATATAAAGATTTCTTTTTTTTTTTTTTTTTAACCAGAAGGTTCAAAAGCAAAGAGTAGGCATGTTTAAAGAGGACAGTATCCTTAAACAGTTTTGGAGAAGTTTGGCAGTTCTGGGGCAATTTCATAGTGCTGTACATGGCAGAAGTATGAGCTCTGGAATCTACCAGCCTGAGTCCACTATTTACCAGCTGGGTTACCTTGGGCATATTTACTTGCCAGGATTAAATGAGGTAATACATGTCAAGTGTCTGACACACAGCAAGCTTTCAATCCATGTTATTATTTCTTACAGAGATAATTAATTCTTTCCTTACGGCATATGGAATGTAGGGAATCCAAAAAACAAGGCACAACAGAAAGTGAAATTAGCCATCACATTTAGTTTTCTAAACTCATTAATCCAAGAAAAATGAGCAAATGGACAACTTGGATTAGAATAAAATAATAAATAAGAATGATGTTTCAATGAGGGGTCACATAACTATATAACCCTAAAAAAGGCTTCTTGCTGATTGTGATACCAAAACACTTTTTAAATTTTTTTTTTTTTTCTGAGACGGAGTTTCACTCTTGTTGCCCAGGCTGGAGTGCAGTGGTGTGATCTCAGCTCACTGCAACCTCCACCTCCCGGGTTCAAGCGATTCTCCTGCCTCAGCCTCCCGAGTAGCTGGGATTACAGGTGCCCACCACCACGTCCAGCTAATTTTTTGTATTTTTAGTAGAGACAGGGTTTCACCACGTTGGCCAGGCTGGCCAGGCTGGTCTCGAACTTCTGAATTCAGGTGATCCACCCATCTCAGCCTCCCAAAGCCCTGGAGTTTTTTGTCGTTGTTGTTATTGTTTTCAGACAGGGTCTTGCTCTGTTGCTCAGGCTGGAGTGCAGTGGTGCAAACACAGCTCAACATAACTCACTGCAGCCTCAAACTCTTGGGGTCAAGTGATCCTCCCACTTCAACCTCCCAAGTAGCTGAGACCACAGGACAAACCACCATACTCAGTTCATTTTTTAATTTTTTGTAGAGACCAGGTAACACTATGTTGCCCAGACTGATCTCAAACTCCTGGACTCATATGATCCTCCCACCTCAGCCTCCAAAAGTTCTGGGATCACAGGCATGAACTACCGCACCCATAGCCTAAAATCCCATTTCTAAAGCTCCATAGCTATTCATATATTTGAATACACTTCATTGTATTCTATCCCTTTTATCTTGATTTAGCTAGTTAGGCAGCTTAATTTGGAGAGCAGAGTGGCCCCAGAATAATCACCTCCACATCTCACCTGGAGAATGTTGAGCTTCACTGTCCAATATAGGAGCCATGGGCCACAGGTGACTACTGAGCACTTGAAATGTGGCTACTCCCAATTGAGATGCGCTGTAAGTATAAAACAATGCACCTGATTTCAAAGACTTAGGACAAATAGAAGGTAAAATATCTCATTATAATTTTTACATTGATCATTTGTTGAAATGATATTTTGGATTTACTGGATTAAAGAAAATATGTTATGAAGACTAATTTCACCTATTTCTTTTTACTTTTTTTTAATGTGGCCACTAGGAAATTTTAAATTGTACATGTGGATGGCATTGTATTTTTATTGTACAGTGTTGCACTGTACAATAAAATGAAGAGATCTGCCTTTTTGCACTGTACAATAAAAACATATAAGAAGTGTGTGTCACCAGGGAAAGAAGTGTGGGGACCATTCTCAACCATATTAACTCACCCTTGATGTCAGTGAGTGAAACTCCCTGGCCCAGCTCAAGTATTTGTTGAATGCCATCCGTTTGAAGGAACACTGGGCACAACCAAGGACCCAAGAACCTAAGCCAAAAGGACATCCATCTCTCTTTTTCTTAATTATTTATTTTATTTTTTGAGGCTGGAGTACAGTGATCCGATCTCGGCTTACCACAACCTTTGCCTCCCGGGTTCAAGCGATTCTCCTGTCTCAGCCTCCCAAGTAGCTGGGATTACAGGCACCTGCCACCACGCCCAGCTAATTTTTGTATTTTTAGTAGAGACAGGGTTTCACCATGTTGGCCAGGCTGGTGTCGAACTGCTGACCTCAGGTGATCCACCCACCTCGGCCTCCCAAAGTGCTGGGATTACAGGCATGAGCCACCACACCCAGCCCCCATCCCTCTTTACTCCTAAAAAGTTTGAGGGCTGTTTCAGCAGACAACACAAAGCTATAAGAAACCCATCCAGAAGCAGGAAAGAATGGCATTTCCGTAGCAAGTGCCAACCTTTCCAGCTGACTTTTTAAAGGCACATGTAAACATGAGAGAGAAGTAAGAGAAGGAGACACAGGCCTTCCAAACAGCCAAAGAGTTCATTTGAAAGAGGAAGTGTGCCACAAAAGCCATCCAAAACAAATGCAGTTCCTAATGGACTTCAAGAGCTGAAGGGGTTTTAAGTCCCATGGGGATTAAAAACAAGAACAAGCTCACCCTCAATCCCTCCGTCCATCCACAGAGCAACCAGCCATGGCCTCAGCGACTGGTTGGCTGTGCTGGTTCCCTGAGATCCAGAACCAGCTCTGATATGTTCCTCCAGGCACTGAGCTGAAGAGGAAGAGGAATCCTTTGGAAGAAAAGGGAGCATCAAAACTGCGATCTAATTTTCTCTGTTCCTGGGGGAATGTTGGGAGAGGAGTTTTTAGGCCCTTCACAGTATCTCAGTGTGTACAAACACACACACACAATCAATTTCTCAGGATGCGAGATGCTCCTGGGGTAGTCCTTTGAAACCTCATAATTCAGGGCAGAGTCAAATAGAATCAATGTTTACTGCTGCTCACTAACTTAGTTCATTCATTCATTCATTCATTCAGTCACTGGAGGCTTTCTCTAAGGGAGGCATTGCGCTAGGCACAGGTGGCAAAATAAAAATAAACCAGATGTGGAAACAATTCTCAAAAAGCAATTTCCATCCATCTGGAGACAGAATAAAGACAGTAGGCCCAACCCTGTGAGCAAGTAGAGCAATTACTTGATGTGACTTAAAAGGAAGCAGCAGCCTGCCCAGCCAGTCTTCTTTTCCTGGCCTGGTGCCCGTAATCCAAAGGGTTCATCCTTGAGTGTTTGTTGAATGCATTCACTCCTTTGGGTTTTCAAGGTTTCAAGGTATTGAGATTTTCACAGATTTGTACAAAACAAAGGAGAAGAAGGAGAAGTGATACATATCAAAGAACGTCAGTGGAGGGAGGGGGTAGTTCTTGAGCATTTCTAACGCTGGTCGAGGGAAAGACTTCAAGGAGAAGGTCATATTTAAATTGGGCCTTGCTTGGGGAGCTCTTAGAAATAAGCCAAGGGGTGAAAGGCCTTCTACACCAAAACCATAACCTAGCAACAGCTAATTCATATAGCAAATATTTGTAGATTATCTACTGCTGGGCCTTGGAGTACAGAAAGACCTAAGAAAACCCCCATAACCCCACTTTAAAGGGATCATATTTGAGAGATGGGGTGGGAGGAGAAGGCAGTTACAAGGCAGAAACAGGAAGCCACGGAGCTCAGGGCACTGTGGGGCTGGATGAAGAGCACCTGCCAGAACACAGAAGGTCAGGATCGTCTTCCTAGAAGAGCTGATGCCTGAGCTAAGTCCCGGATGACCTGGAGGAGGAAAGGGTGTCCCTACAGAGATGGCAGCACCTTCAGGGAAGTGGGAGAGGGCACTGTGATTTCAAGAGATCCCTCTGGTAGGAAGGTAATTTATGCAGAGGGATGAGTGAGACAGAGAAAGCAGAAGCAAGGAGCGGGTGTTATTGCTAAAAAATGTGTTTCATCTGGGAGGCCATCAGGCAACACCAAAAGATTTTAAGCTAGGAGTGAAAATGAAGACATCTGCCTTTTTTTACAAGTTCATTCCAGCAGCAGCATGACCATGGATTGAAAGCTGAGCTGCAGGCCTGGGAACCTGTTAAGGGGCTGTGGCAGCCCAGGATGAGGTATACAGGGCAGAATCAGTGGCTTCTAAGGAAGTAGAATCGGCAGGACTTGGTGACTGGCATGCTGTGGGTTTGAGGGACACAGGAGGGGCCCTGGATGATGCACCTGGGAATGGACATTGGTCAGCTTGGTCTTGACTGGAGAAACACACAGTCAAGGCCAAGGCCTGAGGGCTGGAGGCCAATGAAGCACTGAGATTTTCTGTCATGGAGCAGGGGTTTGCCTTACTAGAAAACCTTAATCCTCCATCCCCAACACTTCCCTAATGTTGGTATAAATCTATCCCCTGGGGCAATGGTGGGTAACCTAGGCTGAGAGGCTGTGAGAGGCTGAGATTGTCTTAATATCCCCCTCCACGCAACAGTGCCAGCTTTCCTTCCTCTAAGGACTTCACCTTCAGTGGGAGCCTCTTCCAAATTCCCTTCTTCTAATCCCCATCCTTTCCTTTACGACATGCTCTGAATTGATTTAAAGGAGTTTCCCTCCTGGGTGGTTGCATTTTAAGAGGGAATTCTAGGACACCTCAAAACCTACACAAGGAAGGGATTAAGACTTCATAAGATACACAGTACACACACACTCTCTCTCTCTCACACACACACACACACACACGTGCATAAGTAGTGGCTTGATTAGAACCTCAGACACCAGGAAAGCCAGCAGATGGAATATTTTTACACAGGAGGTTTCTCCACTCAAATCACACAGAGTAATCACAGTCTACTCTAAAGACCAGCCCCAGCCCCCTTCTCCCTCACTAACACCAGACCATCTCAAGTGGGCCTCGGGTCTTCTTCCTGATAAAGCCACTGGTTGCAGAGCTCTCATGGGGTCTATTTATTTAAGATGGCTAACTCTCCTCTCTCTCTTCCACCCTCCTCTACCTGCCAAGTCCACATTTTCCAAGTCCTCCTTCAGCCCACCCACATGGACACCATATCTGAAATCCTGGTAGTTCTTCTGTCCTAAGTCAAAGCAACTGGCAAGGCCTCCTGCAGACAGGGACAGAATGGAACAGGAGAAAAACACTGTCCCTTATTACCACCATGGGGAGTGACCAAGACATGCATGAACAAAATTCCTTAAAACTATACATACATGTGAAGAAAGAAAATTCACCCCTTGGCCATTTCTTGGTTAGAGAAGCTTTTTTTCATCTGCAAAGGTGGATGCCTCAAAGGCCCCCAAAGAGGGCTTTCTACAGGGTGTTGCTTTAAGTGTGGTGACACTCCCAGGCACCTGTTTCCCTCACTCACAACATTTACATGACCTCAGGCTTCTACTCTGTCATTAGTCAGGAATCATCCAGGAGAAGTCTACAAGCCAAGCACAGGAGGGCATATTAAGTCTTGTTGTCCTGCAGATATTTACACCACCATATAAAAATAGGTGACCGCAGCAGGAGAGATGGATGGAAGCCACGGAACCTAAAATGTCCCCCACTCTGGCAAAGAGGGAGACAGAGGCCTGCTGAAATAAAGCAGGTGTTTTCTGTTCTCAGACAGCCTCGGGCAATGAACTCTGGCCTGTATAGTTGCAAAAGGACCTCAACTCCATGTTTATGCTACTCCAGAGGAAAAGAGAAGAAGGTGAGCAAATGTTCCTAAAGCCCACAGAGGGCCCTGTGCATTTTAAATGCATCTAAGCCAACAGGGCAGCCAGGCTGAGGACAACTTCTCCAATGCAGCAATGGGTTCTGGGACAGAGGCACAGCCCAGAGAACCCCGAAGTAAATAAAGATAGAGGAAATGGAGCAGGGAAAATCAGCGAGGTGGGACTGCTGAGAGAAGGGAAAAAATGGAAGTAATTGGTTCTGGTAAGGGGAAAGGCGAAAAATCCAATAAAATGGGACTATTAAAGACCTAAGCAGCAAAGGAAATTTATTTTCTGTACCTGGAATCCCAAAGTCATCAGATGCTCTTTGTTCTCACCAATCAAAGGATAACACGACTTATTGTGTCCATGTACAACAGACACATATTTGTATTGTCACCATATTGTAATAGTTGTAACTCAATGACAATTCTGAAAGTGAGGGCTATTTTCTAGACACAAGTGGGCTCATTAACAGCGACTCTGAAAGCCACCATGTTTCTAGAAAGGCTTTTGATAAAGCTGATGGTAAACATTTTAATCGTAGCCATTCAGTAGCTTAAATCTAACACTTATTTGGATTAAATATATCTCAAGTTAGGCACTTGCTGCTTTGGGTTTTTGCACAGTTTTATGAATAGCTCTATTAAAATACTTGTATTTTAGTACATCTCATTTTCTGTTTTCCTATCCCACAAGGTGTAGAGGCCAGATAGGACACCTTAAATCTCCAGAGTCTGGCCCAAGGCCTAGCAGATGGTTAATAATTGGTAGTTGCAAGAATAAGTAAAAGCACAAATTACTAAATCTAGTGATATAAATCCCTCCCCATTAAAAAAAAAAAAAAAAAAAAAAAAAAGCTAGGCCCAGCCAGGTGGCTCACACCTATAATCCCAACGGTTTGGGAGACCAAGACAGGGAGGATGGCTTGAGGCCAGGAGTTCAAAACCAGCCTGAGCAACATAGTGAGACTCTCTCTCTATTTACAAAAAAAAAAAAAATCTACTCCATACCTACTAGGTGGCTAAAATCAAAAAGTCAAAAATAACAATTGTTATTAAGAACAGAGAAATGGAGAAATCAGAACCCTAATATGCTGATGGTGTAATTGTAAAATGGTCCAGCTGTTTTGGGAAGCAGTCCAGCAGTTCCACAAATGACTAAACATAGAGTTACCATGTGACCCAGCTATTCCACTCCTAGGTATATCTCCAAGAGAAATGAAAACATATGTCCACAAAGAAACAGGACATGAATGTTTATGGCAGCATTATTCACAATATCCAAAAGGTGGAAGCAACCCAAATGTCCATCAGCAGACAAATAGATAAGCCAAAGGTGGTGTATCCATACAAGAGAACATTATTTCGCCGTAAAAAAAAATAAAAGTACTGTTACATGCTACAATACAACATGGATGAATCATGAAAACATAGTGCTAAGTGAAAGAAGCCAGTCACAAAAGACTGCACACTCTATGATTCAATTCTCATGAAATTCCAGAATATGGAAATCCACAGGGCCAGGAAGGAGATTAGTGGTTACTCAGGGCTGGAGACGGCAAGTGTGTGGGAATAGGAGGGGGACAGCTGAACGATATGGGGTTTCTTCTCGAGGTGATGAAAATGTTCTCAAATTGACTGTGGTGATGGCTGCACATATCTCTGGATATACTAAACACTATTGAACTGTGTACTTTGTTTGTTTGTTTGTTTTTAGAGACAGTATCTCACTATGTTGCCCAGGCTGGACTCCTGGGCTAAAGGATCCTCCCACCTCAAGTGACCACAGCAGGAGAGATGGATAGAAGCCATGGAACCAGCTTTGTACACTATAATGCCCAGCTTTGTACACTATAAGTGGGTAAATTTTATGGTATATGAATTATATCTCAATTAAGCTATTTTTAAAAATTCTCTACTCATAATAAATACCAGAAATTTCTGTGGCTATTTTCTCCTTTAGAACTGTGTTAAACAGGTAGAAAATGGAGACTATTAGAAGAGATTCAATTTTCAATTTGGTGCTTCTATATTTATATGAAGCCTGAAGGCTGAGGTGGGAGGATTGCCTAAGTCCAGAGGTCAAGGCTGCAGTGAGCCATGATTACACCACTGTACTCCAGCCTGAGCTACAAAGCAAGACAGAAAAAAAAAAAAAAATCTTGTATATTAGCTACTCTGGAGTGACTCCTCAAATGAAGTCTCACAATGCGGGCTGAACTGAGAACCTGTTTTACTTAATGACCAAAGCTACTCCTACCTCAAATTTGGGTTTCTTTTAAGTTCTGAGATATAGTGCGGGTAGGAGGGACAATTCCATCTGAATTGAGGTCCTTTTTCAGTTTTATAATGTCTTTAGCTAGTTTTGATCATGAATTATGAATTTTGGATAAACTTTCATGTGACAAAACCAAGGAACAAAAACAAGGAATATGACTGGAAGCACTGATGACAATATCAAATAGTATAAAAGTCTAAGGAAGGAGGGTGGTAGTGGAGAAAGAGAAATCCAAAAACCCTAGAACTGAATCCCAGCTTGACTACTTCCAAGGTACACAACCTCTGGCAGGTGACTTGACCATGAACCTCAGTGTACTCATCTGTAAAATGGGGCTATTCATACCAGCTTCTGCATGTGATACTGTAAGTGACATAAAGAAGAGTAACTGACACACAGTCAACACTTGAGAAATACTTCTCCCTTCTTCCCAGATAGAAAATGCAAAATTGAGAACTCGTTGATGCTGAACAGGAACAAAGAAGGGAAAGAACAGATGACAAGGAATGGTGGAGTTAGAGGGAGTCTGAGTTAACAGAATGAGACCAAACAAATTCATTGTAGCCAGATAGTCCTGGACCAAAATGGGAGATAAGGCTTGCCTGTGTTCAAGGAAAAGGGGCATTAGACAAAACAGAGAGCAAAATGAGAACCGGACTGGTCTGTCTGTAAGCCTTTTGAGGTTTAGAAAGGAGCCAGTCCTTTCGAGAGCTTCATGCTGAGATATTCTGGAATTAGATAGGGATGTGGTGGATGACAGCAGGATGGGATTAAATGCAACAACCAGGATATGCAATTACTAACAAGTTACTCACTGTTCTCAGGGATAGTCCAAAAGCCTGGGTTTTAGGAAAGCAAGCCTTAATGGAAACAAACCAACGTCTAGTCCACATTAGAGTGTCTCCTTCTTTGATGCCCCATTGGGAGGAGGATGAAGTTGTGCAACTGTTTTTTGCTGAAGAGTAAAACAAGTTTTCAAACAGTGCCCTAAATCCCAGTGCCCAAATTTGTTACTGGCAATTGGGCGCCCTCTAGTGTCAGTGAGCAGGGATGCCACCCTTTGAAAGTCATAAAGTTGGGAAATCCTGTTGGGTTCCAGCTCTAGAAGGAACTGCCAAACAGCAATATTTACATGGGTACCTGGAAGGCAGGAAAAGGTTGAAGGAGCACCACTATGACACAAACGAGTTCTTCTGTCAAGAAGTTCTGGAACATAGTAAGTATTCATGAGATGTTTGTTGAAAGTGAATGACAATTAGGTCCATGACAGACAGTCCTGCATTAATGCCCCATCAGGATATTGACATGTAAAGAATACACCACCTGTCAAACCGATGCAGCAATGAAAAACTTGACTGCTCAGATCTTAGGATACTTTTTTTTTTTTTTTTTTTTTTGAGACAGAATCTCACTCAGTCACCCAGGCTGGAGTGCAGTGGTGCGATCTCAGCTCACTGCAACCTCCGCCTCCCGGGTTCAAGTGTTTCTCCTATCTCAGGCTTCCGAGTAGCTGGGACTAGAGGGGGGCCATCACGCCTGTCTAATTTTTGTATTTTTAGTAGAGACAGGGTTTCGCCATTTGCCCAGACTGCTCTCCAACTCCTGGCCTCATGTGATCCGCCCGCCTCAGCCTCCCAAACTGCTGGGATTACAGGTGTGAGCCACCATGCCCAGCCAGATCTTAGGATACTTTCTGAGTGATATAGTTGAGTAAGAACCATGGCTAGATCACTTAGCTGAAATTAAAGAAATTACTCCACTGGATCAACCAAAATATACATGTTGTAACAAAAGTAAATCCTCTTGGCCAGGTGCAATGGCTCACGTCTGTAATCTTGGCACTTTGGGAGGCCAAGGCAGGCGCATCACCTGAGGTCAGGAGTTCGAGACCATCCTGGCCAACATGGCGAAACCCTGTCTATACTAAAAATACAAAAATTAGCCGGGTGTGGTGGCACATGCCCGTAGTCCCAGCTACTCAGGAGACTGAGGTGGGAGAATGGCTTGAACCTGGAAGGCAGAGGTTGCAGTGAGTGGAGATTGCACCACTGCACTCCAGCTTGGATGACAGAGTGAGACTGTGTCTCAAAAAAAAATAATGAATTAATTAAGTCCTCTTTATAATTCCTCTTTTCCTTGCTGAGCTTTGGTGAGTCCATCTGCAAATTCAAGGGGAGCAGAGACTTTCCTCTAAGAAAAGATGACCTGTGATCCTGCATACCATTAGAGCAGTAAAACATGTTCAAGTTATTTCTCACCTATGCTGAGTCAGATGGGGGGAAAAAGATGCCCACTTCCATAGCCAGAGCTGTTTTTGCATCAGATCTGTTATTCATTGAGAGCAGAAGAAAAAATTAACCTCACACACTTACCTCAAATTGTTTGCCCATCTAGTTCGTTTGTTGCCAGAAACTTAGATTCAGTAGACTCAACAGCACATGAAGCAAGAATTCCCGAACTATTCCAGTTTTGCCCAGAAGGAATGCAAGGCATGAGAAGAAAAAAATTAAAAAAAAAAAAAAAACAGCCTTAGTATGCACTGATCCAGTTTGCTCATAGTGCCCCGATTGCTGGGGTAGCCAGCAATGCTTTGGAACCTGCCTTCTCCCTGCTGCAAGAACTTGGAGAGACATTCCCTGTGCAACCCCTGTGCAAATATAAGACATGCACCATGCCACTTTCATTTTGTTTCTTTTATTTTTTCATCTTTTTTTCTTTTTGTTGCTTACACCTGTAACAAAACTGCAACCCACACTACTTTCTTTGCTCATGAAACCTACAACACCTTCTGCTTCTTCCTTTGTGAATGCCATGTTGTACCTGTAGCCTATATCTATGTCCCCTGAATGGTCAAGTACCTGAACTTGAACATCCAGCAGAATGGCCTCAAATGTTATTTTACAGATTAGCCCTGCCCTGCCTTGTGGAAAAGCCCCAGAGGCCACACCTACCCATGGCTGATGTTTCAAATGACTATTCATTTGTCCCGGAAGTCACAGACAGATTTATGCCTCAGACACTCTGCAAAGAGGTACCCAGAGCACAGACTGAAAACTCAAATAATTATTCCCAATCTTCTTTCTGGGATCAGGAGAATAAATGGAGAGCAGATGCCTTAAATGCATCAAGAGCACATGGTGCTGCTGGAAAAGGGGTGCAAATCTGTCCCCCACACAAAGCCCTTTAGGAAAGGATGTCCAAGCACTCTGGAACTTACTCTACATTTCTAAAAGCGGGGTGAATCCCAAGGGGCTGGGCCAAGCCTGGGGGCGCTTTTGCATGCAGACCAGCCACTAGAGCAGGACCTGGTCTCCCAAGAGAGTCAGGGTCTCGCTGTCTTGCCCAGGCTGGTCTTGAAATCCTGCTGTCAGAGGCGTGTGAACCAGAGCAACTCCATATTAAATAGGAGCTGGGTAAAATGAGGCTGAAACCTACTGGGCTGCATTCTCAGTAAGCTAAGGTATTCTAAGTCACAGGATGAGATAGGAAGTCAGCATAAAATACAGGTCATAAAGAACTTGCTGATAAAACAGGCTGCAGTAAAGGAGTCGGCCAAAACCAAAATGGTGATAAGAGTGACCTCTGGTCGTCCTCACTGCTACACTCCCACCAGCGCCATGACAGTGTACAAATGCCACGGCAACGTCAGGAAGTTACCCTATATGGTCTAAAAAGGGGAGGCATGAATAATCAACCCCTTGTTTAGCATATCATCAAGAAATAACCATAAAAATGGGCAACCAGCAGCCCTCAGGGCTGCTCTGTCTATGGAGTAGCCATTCTTTTATTCTTTTACTTTCTTAATAAACTTGCTTTCACTTTGCAAAAAAAAAAAAAAAAATTCTAAACGTGAGGCAGGTAGGCGAGCATTAGGAGTAGAAAGTCAGGCTCCCAGCTGGCTACCATATTTAACTGGTTTCTATTTTAAGTAAGGACTATAAGGAAAGAGGTGGGAGACAGGGCAGAGCCCCGCATGTGCTCTGCAGGAGCATTACTCACCAGGTCATTACTCACCAGGGCGCTTTTAAAATCTGGGAGCCCTGCAGGGGGTTTCCTTTGCAGGCTCACAGCTAATGTAGAAGAATGAGGGCTTCTCTTCTCCTGCCTTCTTTTCAGGGCTCCTAACCTTCCAACGCCCAGAGTGCTCTCCCAGTGGGTGGGTCAAAATAGCTTACCCAGAACTCCAGGAGGAAGAGAGGAGGAGATGCAGAGTTGGTAATGGCACTCCAACATTCTGATGGCAGAACTGAAGAGGTTAAATAGGTGGTGGGACATCGTAACATGAAACAATAGTTCAAATCCAATAGCAAAACCTCTTAATTCATCCTCATAACATGATATCATAAAAGGCCCTTTTATTAGTTCTTAGAAAAAGATATTCTTGGCCAGTCGTGGTGGCACACATCTGTAATCCCAGCACTTTGGGAGGCCGAGGCAGGATAATCACTTGAACTCAGAAGTATGAGACCATCCTGGATAACATGGCGAAACTGTGTCTCCACAAAAAACACAAAAATTAGCCAGGTGTGGTGGTGTGCACCTGTAATCCCAGCTATTCAGCAGGCTGAGGCAGGAGGATCACTTGAGCCCAGGAGGTCAAGGCTGCAGTGAGCTATGATTGTGACATGCACTCCAGCCTGGGCAACACAGTGAGAACTCATCTCAAAAAAAAAGAAAGAAATGAAAAAGAAAAAGGCATTCCTGATGGAACCTGCTAGACATCCATGGAGCTAAACTTTCTATTTGTGCTATCCCAAATAGAAAATCCATAGTGCCTGATTTTATTGTAAAACACATTTATTTAAAGAAATCAAAAGTTTTTTCCACATCCTATTAAATCCCTAAATCTCATTATAAGTTGACTATAAGTAACCATTGATTGAATTTTGCCATCAAATAGAATTTAGTGCCCTCAAGTTCACAGCATTGGGTGAAGTATTATACACAAAGTAATTCAGACAATATCTCAGAATCTTAAACTATATCAATACCCTATATTACATTATAAACCATTTCCAAAAAACTTTTTGTAAAGTGCTTCCTGTTCAAGCAGACAGCTGAGCCCAACCAATGAGAAAGGATTCATCATAATAATAAGAGTCACATTGAATACTGCTTCCCAAGTGCAGACACTGTTCTAAATTGCTTTATCCAAATGAGCCTGTGTAAGCCTCTCAACAGCTCCTTAGACATACTCTCAGGATCCTCATTTTACTGGCAGGAAATAAAAGGATGACTGTAGAAGCAAACTTAGAGTAACTAACAGCCTCCACTTAAAACTAGGTCAACAAGTTTGCCAATCTCTAAACTCCAGTCCAAATAACTTTTTTTTTCCACGTCAGACGGGTAATATGCCAACATCATAACAAGCTCACACATGCGCGTGAAAACCCAATCATCACGCTTATGAACTACAAAAGGATTCAAATAGCTCTTCTTTCAAGTTCAAAACACAAAAATGAATTTTACTCTCAAATCTAAAATTTGCAACACCAGGTTTGTCATATCACACAAAGCTATTTTCATTAGCTATCTGAAAAGCAGGGAAGAAACCTTTTTCTCAGTCGAATAAAACCACACATACCTTTGAAGCAGCAGGCAACCGTCAGTGCCCCTACTGTTGGAGAAGCCTCTACTCCTTTTATTTGATTTTTTTTTTTTTTTTTTTGAGACAGAGGGTCTCACTCTGTCACCCAGGCTGCAGACTCATTCTCCCAGGCTCAAGTGATCCACCCACTTCAGTCTCCCACGTAGCTGGGATGCACCACCACACCTGTCTAATTTTGTTCATTTTTTTGTAGAGACAAAGTCTCACTATGTTGCCCAGGCTGGTCTCAAACTCCCGGACTCAAGGGATCCTCCCACCTCAGCCTCCCAACTTGCTGGTATTACAGGCGTGAGCCACCCCTCCCAGCTCCTCTTTTTCCTTGATACTGTTCTTTTTCCTCTCTTGGCCTTTCTGCCGCTTTGACATTCCCCTCTGGGGAAGGTGGGGAATTTCAAAACCAGTTTACCATGGTGCATCTCCCGCAAGGAAAAAAACAAATACCAAAATATCAAACTTCTACTAAAAGTTTTTAAAAGTTTACCTAAGGCCAAGCACGATGGCTCATGCCTGTAATCCCAACACTTTGGGAAGTCGAGGTGGGCGGGTCACTTGAGGTCAGGAGTTCGAGACCAACCTGGCCAACATGATAAACCCCATCTCTACTAAAAATGCAAAAATTAGCCCGGCGTGGTGGCTCATGCTTGTAATCCCAGCTACTAGGGAGGCTGAGGCAGGAGAATTGCTTGAGCCTGGGAGGCGGACGCTGCAGTGAGCCGAGATTGCACCACTGCACTCCAGCCTGGGTGACAGGGTGAGACTCTGTCTCAAAAAAACAAACAAACAAAAAAAGTAAGTTTACCTAAAGCAGCAAATGATTCTGCTTACACAGTAAAGCCATCAAAGAGATGGGCAGTGGCAAATGTATGTGTGACTTTAAACCTTTTCCCAACTGCCCCATAATCCACAATGGAGGTAATACTTCAGAGCAATAGGCGTTCCCTTTGTTCATGCTCTTTCATCCCTTTCTCCAGCTGAGCCCCCTCAAGCCAATGATAAATAAGAATGTATACATTACCGAGGCCTATTGGTATTAGGAGTTTGAGGTTTATTTGGTTTCTGTTTTCATTTTATTTTCAATGTGAAAATAATTTCATCTTTTTCCTGGACATAAAAACAATGCACATCTATTATGAAGAATTGGAACAATATGGCTGGGTGCGGTGGCTCACACCTGTAATTCCAGCACTTTGGGAGGCTGAGGTGGGCGGATTGCCTGAGGTCAGGAGTTCCAGACCAGCCTGGCCAACATGGCAAAACCCCATCTCTACTAAAAATATAAAAAATTAGCCGGGTGTGGTGCCATGCGCCTATAGTCCCAGCTACTTCGGAGGCTGAGGCACGAGAATACTTGAACCCAGGAGGAGGAGCTTGTGGTGAGCCAAAATAGCGCCACTGCACTCCAGCCTGGGTGACAGACTGAGACTCTGTCTCAAAAAAAAAAAAAAAAAATTGGAACAATACATAAAGATACAATCATGAAAATGAAAGTCTCTTAAAATCTCACCATCCTAACCAGTAAAAATGAGGTAGACTTCTTGCAGTGCATTTATATACACACACATGCACACACACACACACACACACGCCACAGTTTTACATGGATAGGATCATATCATACTTGCTGTTTTTATTACGAACAACTGTTCTCTTTTCCTCTCCTCCTCCAACATTAACAAGAACATAGGGTGTGTCCATATATATTTTCCTTTGTAACCATACACACACCAGTATACATTTTCATATACACTGACACATGCAGGGAGGTTTTCTGTTCTTTTTTTACAATGATGGAATCACATTACACTCATTCTGCATCTTACTTTTCTCACTCACTGGTATCTCTTGGAAATCTCTCTCAGACATCTGGTAAGGCTATCATTCATCCCATTGAATGGCCATATAATATTCTATGGAGTAATATATTTTAATTTTTCAGCCATTCCCTGATTAATGGCCATTCACTAGGTTTCTGGTTCTTGGCAGCTACAAACAAGGCTGCAATAAATATTCTTGCACACATGTTCATACAAATTAGCACTTTTATTTTATGGAATAGATTCCTAGGAGTAGGATTCTGGGGTCAAAGGAAATATGTATTTTTAATTTTAATAGATATTGCCAGACTGCCTTCCAAAAAAGAAAGGCCAGAATGCTCTATGACAACACTAGCAATGGATGGAGCACATGTCACCCCACAGTCCTGCTGGCAACAGGTATCATGACTCTTCTTAATTTTTTGCCAGTTTAATGGATAAAAAGGAATATTTCATTAGGCATTTGCATTTCTCTGAATCTGGGCCACTGCATACACTGTGCAGTTTGTGCATAGGACGATGGGGCAGAAATCTGGCCCACAAATGGTTTGCAAAAACAAGCATCCTAATGGTGTTCAGTGCAGAGGAAGGGGCCCCAGCCTTTTCTTGTTTATATGAAGGTAATGCCAGTGGCCCCATCCTGACCACCAAGACATTTGAACACCTTTTTATATGGCTATTGGATATATTTGGACTTCCGTGAATTTTCTCTCCATATCTGTTGCCCATTTTTCTGTTGGGAAGCAATAGAAAACATCTACTTGTATCATTTAATATTAATCTTGTCAATTTATAGGAGCTGAAATTTGCAAGATTAACTTTACAGAAATTAAATCTGACTACCATCTGCATTACAGTTACTATCATTTGCCCAATAACTTTTTTATGGTATCACTTACAAAATATTTTTAATGTTTTAGTCAAATATGTTTATCTTTTCTTTTATAACTTTTGGCATCCAGTCTTGATTAAAACCATCTCCTTGATCTCTAGAAAATACAGGCTGGGTGTAATGGCTCACCCTTGTAATCCCAGCAGTTCGGGAGGCTGAGGTGGGTAAATCACCTGAGCTCAGGAGTTCGAGACCAGCCTGGCCAACATAGTGAAACCCCATCATTTTGTACTAAAAATACAAAAATTAGCTAGGCATGGTGGTGGGCGCCTGTAGCCCCAGCTACTCAGGAGGCTGAGGCAGGACAATTGCTTGAACCCAGGAGGTGGAGGCTGCAGTGAGCTGAGATTGTGCCACTTCACTCTAGCCTGGGGAACAGAGCGAGACTCTGTCTCAAAAAAAAAAAAAAAAAAAAAAAAAAAAAAATATATATATATATATATATATATATATATGTGTGTGTGTACATAAATATTTAATAAGATAATTTAGAAGACTACCTGTATTTTCCCTTTTTTTTTTTTTTTTGAGATGGAGTGAGCTGAGATCCTCCCACGCACTCTAGCCTGGGCAACAAGAGCGAAACTCCATTATAATATGCATCTTTGGCTTATCAAAATATAGTGTAATCAGTACATCTACCTTCCTCCCAGAAAATGCAAACAATTTTTAGAGTATTTAACTTTAGCCTGGGCACGGTGGCTCACGGGTGTAATGCCAGCACTTTGGGGCAGGCAGATCACATGAGGTCAGGAGTTTGAGACTAGACTGGCCAACATGATGAAACCCCATCTCTACTAAAAATACAAAAATTAGCCAGGTATGGTGGCAGGCACCTATAATCCCAGCTACTCAGGAGGCTGAGGCAGAAAAATTGCTTGAACCCAGGAGGTAGAGGTTGCAGTGAGTGGAGATCACACCATTGCACTCCAGCCTGGGCAACAGAGCAAGACTCCATCTCAAAAATAAAAAAGAATATTTAACTTTACATATCTCCTTCCCAACTTATTTTCTGTCATGTATTTTAAAACTCTACAGTTGAGGTTCTTGTACATTACCCATTCATTTACCCTTTTCTTTGTTCTCCATTTGTTTATTTGTTCCTTCATTTCTCTCCAACCTTCCATCCGAGACTACTTTCACTCTGCCTGAAAAAAAAATGTGCATTAGAACTTCCTTCAGTGGGTTTGCTGGTAACAAACACTCAGTTTTTGTTTGTCTGTTTTGTTTTGTAAAATACGTTTATTTTACCTTCTTCTTGTCTAGATAATTTTATAAATTTGGAATAATTTTAAACATTAATTTTCAAGACTAGGATAAAGAACCCCTTGATTTCCTGAACCATTTGGAAATAAATTGCCAACATGATGCCCCATAACACATAAACACTTTAGTCTATAATTCTTTTAAACAAGGACATCCTTCTATATAACCAAAATAAAAACACCAAAATCAGGAAATTAACACGATACATTATGACCATCTAATCTAGAGACTCATTCAAGTTTTGCAAATTGTTCCATTAATATCCTCTAGAAAACAAAATAAACCATTTCAGATGACCTGTTGCATCATGTCTCTTTTGTCTCCTTCAATCTGGAATAGTTCTTTACTTCCCTTGTCTCCATGACCTTCACATTTTTGGAGATTACAGGACAGTTTTTTGTGTGTGTCTGATGTTTCCTCGTGGTTAGATTCAGGATATGTGTTTTTGGCAGAAATACCACAAAAAAATGACACTGTGTTCTTCTCATTGCCTCCCATCAGATGGTATGCAATCTAGATTTGTGTCATTACTGGTGATATTAACTTTGATCACCTGATTAAGGTGGTATCTGCCAGCTTTCTCCACTGTATGTTACTCTTTTCCCCTTTGTAATTAATAAGCATTTTTAGGAGATATTTTGAAATTATGTAGATACCATTACTTTGTCAAACTTTTGCTCTCTAGCCTCAGCGTCCATTGATGTTTCTTAGTTCTGAATTAATTATGATGATAATGATTGCCAAATGATGATTTCATTTATTTATTTATGTTCAAAACAGGGTCTTACTCTCTCACTCAGGCTGGAGTGCGCTGGTGCAATCAGGGCTCACTGCAGCCTTGATCTCCCAGGCTCAAGCAATCCTCCCACCTCAGCCTCCCAAGTAGCTGGGACTACAGGCATTTGCTACACCTGGCTAATTTATTCTTTTTTTTTTTTTTTTTTTTTTTGGAGAAACGGGGCCTCACCATGTTGCCCAAGCTGGTCTCGATCTCCCTCAAGCAATCCTCCCACCTCAGCCTCCAAAGTGGTGGGATTACAGGCTTGAGCTACCACGCCCAGCGTAAATAGTGATTTTCTAACTCCATCGTTCCTTCTCCATTTATTCATTGACACTCTGCTGCAAGAAAATATTTTCTCCTCTCCTCATTTTTTTTTTTTTTGAGATGGAGTCTCGCTCTGTCACCCAGGCTGGAATACAGTGGTGCAATCTAGGCTTACTGCAACCTCAACCTCCACCTCCCAGGTTCAAGCGATTCTCCTGCCTCAGCCTCCTGAGTAGCTGGGATTACAGGCACGTGCCACCATGCCCGGCTAATTTTTTATAATTTTTAGTAGAGACGGGGCTTCACCATGTTGGCCAGGCTGGTCTCAAACTCCTGACCTCAAGTGATCCACCCACCTTGTCCTCCAAAGTGCTGGGATTACAGGCATGAGCCACATCGCCTGGCCTATTTATTCATTTAGTTAATTATATCAGTGTGGATTCAACGATTCCTACTAATTCAATAGGTTATAATTCATTACTTTCATTTTTTTTTTTTTTTTTTTTTTTTGAGACGGGGTCTTGCTCTGTCGCCCAGGCTGGAGTGCAGTGGCGCGATCTCGGCTCCCTGCAAGCTCCGCCTCTCGGGTTCACGCCATTCTCCTGCCTCAGCCTCTCGAGTAGTTGGGACTACAGGCGCCCGCCACCACGCCTGGCTAATTTTTTTGTATTTTTAGTAGAGACAGGGTTTCACCATGTTAGCCAGGATGGTCTCGATCTTCTGACCTTGTGATCCGCCTGCCTCGGCCTCCCAAAGTGCTGGGATTACAGGCGTGAGCCACCGCGCCCAGCCTCATCATTCATTTTGACGCTTAAATAGTCCCAGATTTGGCCAGTAGGAGCCCCTTCAAATTAAATATCCCAGTCTCATTTTAGAACTTCCCTGCTCTAGCCCTGGAAACAGCCATTTCTCAAACAACAACAAACCTGGTTCCTGTCAGTAAAAAATAATTTTTAGGAACCAAGATTTGAACACTGGTTGTACTGCTGTCAGGGTCTTGCTGCTCCTGAGCCCTCTCGGTAGCCAGAGGCAAGAACATCTGCATATGTACCTGTACATATTTATATCTCTGTGTGTGTGTGTGTGTGTGTGTGTGTGTGTGTGTGTGTGTGTGTCCATGATTGCACTTTAGTACTTCAATCCCAATCTGGTTTTCAATCTTTCCACATTTATAGCTCTCTTTTCCAATAGTGAGAATCCCATCTCCCATTGTTCTCAATACATTTACTCACTGGATCATGTTATGGGCTGAATCATGCCTCCCTCCAAAATTCAGGGAAGCCCTAATCCCCACTATCTCAGAATATGAATGTATCTGGAGATAGGGCCTTTAAAGGGGTGATTCAGGCTGGGCACGGTTGCTCACACCTGTAATCCCAGCACTTTGGGAGGCCAAGGCGGGCAGATCACTTGAGGTCAGGAGTTTGAGACCAGCCTGGCCAACTTGCAAAACCCTGTCTCTACCGAAAATACAAAAATTAGCTGGGCATGGTGGCACACCTCTGTAGTCCCAGATACTCAGGAGGTTGAGGCATGAGAATTGCTTGAACCGGGCTGGCTTCAACGAACCGAGATCATGCCACTGCACTCCAGCCTGGGCAACAGCGAGAGACTCTGTCTCAAAAAGTAAATAAATAAAGATGTGATTCAGTTAAAAGGAGGGCATTAGGCTGGGCCCTAATCCAATTTGACTGGTATCCTTATAAGGAAGAGGAAATGTGGGCACAGAGAAATACCAGGGATGTTCACACACAGAGGAAAAGCCATCTACAAGCCAAGGTGAGAGGCCTCCGAAGAAACCAAACCTGCCAACACCTTGATCTTGGACTTCTAGCTTCCCAGACTCTGAGAAAGTAAATTTCTGTTGCATAAAGCCACCCAGTCTGCGGTGTTTTATTATGGCAGTCCTTTCAAACTAATACCGATCCATCTAGCCAAAAGCAACCTCGTCTAAAACCAGCACCAACAAATTTTTTGTGATTGTCAGCCTGCCTTAAGCAAGTTCTGAGAAGTACCTCTTTCTGTAGCAATCTCATTATCTATATAAATTCAGCCAGACATGGTGGCTCACACCTATAATCCCAGTGCTTTGGGAGGCTGAGGCAGAAGGATCACTTGGGCCCAGGAGTTCAAAACCAGCCTAGGTAACTTATAGTGAGACCCTCATCTCTATGAAAAATAAAAAAAATTAGCTGGGCATGGTGGCACATACCTGGAGTCTCAGCTATTCAAAAGGCTGAGGTGGGAGGATAGCTTGAGCCTGCGAGGTTGAGGCTGCAATGAACCATGATTGCACTTCACTGCACTCCAGCCTGGGTGACAGAGCATGACTTTGTCCCAAAAAAATAAAAAATTAAAATAAATAAGTAAATTCAGTATTCTCTGCCAAGCAACTAGCTGTGCATAATCTCAGTGTGCTTGCAGGGACTGGTTTGGTCTCAGAGTTAAGGGGCCAGTGGATTTTGCCACAATATATATTCTGTGCATGTTGTACCCTGATGGACCCTATTCATTCTGAAGATCTCCCTGATGGCTCGGCCAATCCACGGCACCTACAATGCATATTTAGTGAGTATCAGAGAATACAATCACTGACAAAGAAACCAGCTCAGAGCTTAGCTTGTTCCTTAATAAGGCATTGCTCAAATTGCGACCCCCTTAAGAAGTGTGCTTTAAATTGTGCCACGATCTAACCTTAACTTATTTGAAATTTCAGAAATCTGAAAAATGACTCTGAATCATAGACCCCAACTCCTTTATCTTACCCATTCTTATTCCTCTTGGAATTTATGTCCTGACTTCACAAGTCTAAGAATGATGGCTCTGGCTGCCTGCGCTGCGTGATCTGCTGGAGCCTGGAAGCCCCAGCTGTGCTTTCTCTGCCTCTGACACCTCCCGTGGTAATAAACAGAGCTCTACCAGGGCTTCCCTAATGACTCCTGCAGCAATGGACAACATTGCCGCTCATTAATAGTGGTGCTAGCACTATGGGGCTAGTGGGAACAAATGTTTATTTGGTTCCAGAAAATGAGCCAATCCCACCATTAGACACTGTCCACAGAGATGCGATGAGAAGAAGCCATTTATAGAAAGAGAAGCTTATTTTGCTGAAACCTCTGCTGTAAGCTGAGGTGGTTAAAGCTTCTACAACAGCAACACACCGTGGCTGAATCTTACCCTTGTCTCAAAGAGCTGCTTCCTCTGGGGAGTAGAGAAATCATACCCATGCCTCAGAATGGGAAAACAGATGCCTGGAAAACCCTCCTCTGCATTCTCCTTTACTTTCCCAGCTTTTACAGCCAAGCTGCTGGGATTCTCACTATGTCTGTGGAAGAAGGTTATCATGCATCCTTATGGGTCCCAATTCACTGTGTCCTCAAGCGCTCACTGTGGGTCAGGCGTTATTCTACATCTTTGTATAATCCCAGTACATTTAATCCTCACACTGAGGTGGGTTCCTCATTTTTCAGATGGGAAAACTGAGGCTGTCCTGGAGAAACCCAGGACAGGATAAGAAGGTAATCCATTCTGTATTCAGATCCAGAGAGGTCAAGTAACATGCCCAAGGTCACACAGTTAAACTGCAAAGGAACAGGAATTCAAACACAGGCCAAGTGCCTCCACAGCATGCAGTCTGGACCACCAGGCTGTATTTTGGGTAATGGTTAACAATAATTACAATTATATAAAGTGTCTTCCTTCCAGTATGCAAAACACTTCCAAATAGGTTGTCTCATTTACCCATGGTACAACACTTTTCTAATCTGGAAGGATGAGGTTACAGTGCTTCAAATTATCTCCTTTAATGCATAACAGGGGACTATGTCCTCAAATTTGGGACAGAACAAGGAATAAATTGATTTATGAAAGCATGTGGCCCCAAGGGTGTTGACTCACCTGAGAGATTAGGGGGGCACACAATTTGGGGCTGAAGAGGCTGCTTACTTTCTTGGCTTACCTGATTTTGTACAGATGTGATCCCAGAAAACACAACAGAAAAATTCATGCCCTCAAAGTCCCTATGCCTCTCTCCTGGGGCCAAGAACAACATTCTCATCCGATTTTCAGGAAGTCTCCTGAGGCACACACACATACAGTTTCTTGATTAATTCAGTTTGGCTTCAAGTCCTTCTGTAGTTTCCTAGGGCTAAACGGAAGCCGAATTCTTCCCAATTCCCTTCCTCGTGTCCCCTAAAGGGAATCCTCCTATCAGTGTTCAACAGAAATTCAAATGCAGAAGAAACCAGGGAGGCAGTAAGATTTCGAACAATTGCATGCCTCAAGTTTTTTTGTTTTTTTTTTCCTGTTCTCATTCTGCTTGATTTCCCCCCTTCTCTCAATCTATAGCTTTCTATGTTTATAAAGCTGTTGACACCAATAAAGTCAGTCACGGGAAACAATGCCCATCCTTTTATGTTATTTTATCTTGCTGAGGTCAGGAATGATGCTCATGGAAGCTCCAGCGAGGTACTCTTCCTCTGAGCCCCTCCTCATTCTCTAGTCTAGACTCTCCTTGGAAGAAGACCCCCAAATTTGCAAATGTTTAACACAGAGGGGGAAAAAAGCTATAAAAATTATTTTAGGAATCCTCCAAATGAAAGCACCATTCTTGACACCATCCCCTGGAATGGCTTGTCTGTGTGTCCAAGAAAAGGCTTCATTGATTTCTAAGACCAAGACCCCCTCTCCATGGCAAGGAGTGGAGGAATTAACAGCTAAGGATGAATCCTGCTGAAAGAAATACAGTTCTATACCATAAATAAGCCACAAACTCTGTTATTTGTGTAATCTAGATGCCTGGGGAGGTAGAGTCACCACAACATGCTCTTTTTTTTTTCTTTTTTTTTTTTTTTGCTCTGTTGCCCAGGCTGGAGTGCAGTGGTATGATCTCAGCTCACTGCAACCTCCACCTCCCAGGTTCAAGCGATTTTCCTGCCTCAGCCTCGCAAGTAGCTGGGACTACAGGAGTGTGCCACCATGCCCACTTAATTTTTTGTATTTTTAGTAAAGATGGGGTTTCGCCGTGTTGGCCAGGCTGCTCTCGAACTCCTAGTCTCAAGTGATCTGCCCACTTCAGCCTCCCAAAGTGCTGGAGTCACAGGCGTGAGCCACCACGCCTGGCCCCATGCTCTCTCTTTAATGCACAATTTAAGATATTTAGCCATCAGGCCAGGACAGGATGAGAAGGAAATCCATTCTGCACTCAGATCCAGAAAGATACGCCTGGCTAAATAGTGACCTGTCTTGACTAATCAGACTGCACTTTTGAAAATCACATTGTATAAGAATACTTATTGGCCTCAAAAAAACATTATTCATAATATACTGTTTAAACACCACAAAAAAGTAATTACCTTAAAGAGCCCTTTTCTGAAACAGAATCCGACTGAGATGATTCAAAAGAACTATTAACAGTTTAGGCAAGATGAAGAGAAATAAGACCACTGGGGCACCCAGGGGCTAGCAAGAGTAGGAAGCTATGACCACCAGGAGGCTCAAAGGAGCAAGGGGAGGAAATGAAATTTCTGGCGCCTGGACCAGGGGCCAGAAAACATTCCCAAGCAGGGAAGGAGCAAGCAAAATCCTCATTTCTCTCTCCACCCACCCACCCACCTATCTACTACTGGTGTCTCTCACTGGTTGAACTCAACTAGAAGGCTGGCAGCAAAGGAGTCTAGGTAATCCATTTTGTAGATATGCACAGAGCAGCCCAAAGAAGGATGAAGAGTAGATGGGGGACAAGGGAGCAAAAAGAGAATAGTCACATCACCTGACCCAAAGTAGCCCCCAGTCACTTCTTATCACATCATCTTGTCTTGTCATTGTACTTACCATTATTTTTATTTTATTTTATTTTATTTTATTTTTTTTTTTTTGAGACAGAGTTTCGCTCTTGTTGCCCAGGTTGGAGTGCAATGGTGCCATCTTGGCTCACTGCAACCTCCACCTCCTGGGTTCAAGCAATTCTCCTGCCTCAGCCTCCCAAGTAGCTGGGATTACAAGCATGTGCCACCACACCCAGCTAATTTTGTATTTTTAGTAGAGATGGAGTTTCTCCATGTTGGTCAGGCTGGTCTCGAACTCCCAGCCTCAGGTGATCCACCTTCCTTGGCCTTCCAAAGTGCTGGGATGACAGGCATGAGCCACCGCACCTGGCCTTTTTATTTTTATTTATCTGTCCCCCTCCCCACTTGAATGTAAGCTCTTTGAAAGGAAGGAATTTGTCTGTCTTATTCAAAATTGTATCCACACATGGAATGTTGGAGCCCAGGAAGACTAGGGAAGGCTTCCTCGTGCGTAAAGGGTACAGGGTTTCCCAGCACAGGTTCCCAGAGCCTGAGTGGGGAAGAAGGACATCTGTATTGGGTAGGGGGTGGGGGCAGAGAGAGGAGATGTCTACCTACAAAGGGATTGATCAAACAAGTAAATAAAAATAATGAGAACCTCACTGCTGGAGAAGGAAGCTACAAATACAGAAAGGGAGAAAACTAGAATCAGCCCTATATGATGGATTGGAATTGGAGATACTGGTGTAAACTCATGGTTTTCAAGATAGGTGGGTAAACTGATAGATGTACAAATAAATATAGATGTCACAGTGAGTGTGGGAGTGTGTGAGTGTGTGTTCCCAACTGTAACCATGAAGAGTGCCTTGGAACAGGGATACCGTAATAGCAATAAGCACACTTAGCATTCAGGTCTTGGCTTCTAAATACCAATTTCTATGACATGGAGATTAAATTCAATTGAATTAAATTGAATGGAGCTGAAGATTAGGTGACAGTGGTATATCAATGTCAATTTTTCAGTTTTGATGGCTATGCTTTGGATACATAGGAGAATGCCTATGTCTGTAAGAAATACAAACTAAAAGTATTCCAGACTGATGACACATCAAGTCAGTGGTTACCCTCAGGAAAAGAAAAAGAAAAATTCTGTAGTTGGAAGTTTTCTATTAGTTTGTGATTGTTTTCAAAAACAATTTTCTTAAAATGTACTTACATTCCCAGCACCTAGAACAGATCTGGCATTCCAAGTGCTCAATAAATATTTGTTGAATTAATAACTGAAAGATATAAACAGTTAGAACAAACACATGCTTAGAAAAAACACATCCAAATATTAACAGTGGTTTTTTTGGAGGGATAGATTTATCACAGGTAATTTGGGTATTTTTTCACTTTGTGCTTTTCTGCTTCTCAAGTTTTCTTAGATTATTATGCATTATTAACTGTTATATTGGTCAGGCTGCTAACCAGCTAAGACTAGTATTTTAGAGGCAAAATCTTGTCCCCAGATTTATGGGTTTCAACATTTTGTGTATTAAGTTATTGGGACCAGATCCTTGGAAACTGCTTGTCTACCCAAGTACACAGAATACGAATATGATCAGTTAATTATTGAGACATGTAACTTCCTGATGTCTAGAATATTCTTGCCCATTACCCACGGCTCCCTCTTTTCCAAAATCATGATAATGGAGTCAGTCATCAGCAGTTTGGTGAATACGTAATCATACAAAGAGGTGTAGAGAATTTTGTTGGGTATTTCATTAGGTTAGCAAAGGAACTAGAGGCTAGGGCGCGATGGTTCACGCCTGTAATTCCAGCACTTTGGGAGGCCAAGGCGGGTGGATCACCTGAGGTCAGGAGTTCAAGACCAGCCTGACTAACATGGTGAAACTCTGGCTGTACTAAAAATACAAAAATTAGCTGGGCGTGGTGGCGGGAGCCTGTAATCCCAGCTATTCGGGAGGCTGAGGCAGGAGAATTACTTGAACCCAGCAAGCAGAGGTTGCAGTGAGCCGAGACGGCGCCATTGCACTCCAGCCTGGGCAACAGAGCAAGACTCCATCTCAAAAAAAAAAAAAAGGAAATGAACTAGGGAATTGTTCTATATCAAGATTTTCAGTGACCAGCCAGATGCAGTGGCTCACGCTTGTAATCCCAGCACTTTGGGAGGCTGAGGCGGGCGGATCACCTGAGTTTGGGAGTTCGAGACCAGCCTGACCAACATGGAGAAACCCCATCTCTACTAAAAACACAAAATTAGCCGGGCGTGGTGGCACATGCCTGTAGTCCCAGCTACTCGGGAGGCTGAGGCAGGAGAATCACTTGAACTCAGGAGGCGAAGGTTGCAGTGAGCCAAGATCATGCCATTGCACTCCAGCTTGGGCAACAAGAGCAAAACTCCATCTCAAAAAAAAAAAAGATTAAGATTTTCAGTGACCAAGACACTCACTTGGATACTACTGAAAAAACACTGAGAAATTCTGATGAAAATGATCCTTTTTCTAGGCCCTGGATGGACTGTTACCCCACAATGGGCATGTTAATTTAATTACATTTCTCTTGCATTGATTTTATTTTGGATTAGTCTCCATGATGTGATTTGACAGGCATCCTAGTTCCTGTGGCAACTTACGTACAAGTCACCTCTTAAAATAGCCAACTCCTGCTGGGTGCAGTGGTTCACGCCTGTAATTCCAATACTTCAGGAGGCTGAGGCAGGAGGATCACTTGAGCCCAGGAGTTTGAGACCAGGCTGGGCAATATAGTAAGACCCTATCTCTATAAGAAAAAAAAGTGTTTTTTTATTTTTTTTTTTTTTATTTTTGAGATGGAGTCTTGCTCTGTTGCCCAGGCTGAAGTGCAGTGGCACGATCTCTGCTCACTGAAAGCTCCGCCTCCTGGGTTCACGCCATTCTCCTGCCTCAGCCTCCCGAGTAGCTGGGACTACAGGCGCCCGCCACCACGCCTGGCTAATTTTTTGTATTTTTAGTAGAGATGGGGTTTCACCATGTTAGCCAGGATGGTCTCGATCTCCTGACCTCATGATCCACCCACCTCTCCCTCCCAAAGTGCTGGGATTACAGGCATGACCCACCACGCCCAGCCTGTTTTTTCTTTTTTTAAAAGGACAACTTCTGCAGTTGATTTAAACAAATGTTGATTTGTTTAAATTAACATTTAAATTTTATATTTTGGGGGATGGGAGGATGTGGGGATGGCTAATGGGTACAAAAACATAGTTTGAAAGAATGAATAAGATCTAGTATTTGAAGGCCGGGTGCAGTGGTTCACGCCTGTAATCCCAGCACTTTGGGAGGCCAAGGCGGGCAGATCACCTGAGGTCAGGATTTCAAGACCAGCCTGGCCAACATGGCAAAAGCCCATCTCTACTAAAAATACAAAAAATTAGCCAGGCATGGTGGAGGGCGCCTGTAATCTCAGCTACTTGGGAGGCTGAGGCAGGAGAATAGCTTGAACCTGGGAGGCAGAGGTTGCAGTGAGCCGAGATCACGCCACTGTACTCCAGCCTGGCAACAGAGTGAGACTCCATCTCAAAACAGACAAAAAATATATATATATTGTTTTAGTCTTTGCCATGTGCCAGATATTTTCCAACCTCTTTCTATAGATTCATTCCTTTTCATTACAACATTTGCCTTGGCTTCAAATTCTGGAGATGAAATGAAAAAATAATTTTTACTTTTGAAGGTAATATACACCATCTAGATACCATGCTACCTTTATAATCGCGGGTGCTTAACCAATGGGCGCTGTGCACCAAGTCCTGGGTGAGGTACTCCATCATCAGCGCTTACTCCTTACAACCTTTCTCAGTAGATGTCTTATCCTCATTCTAATCTGTGAAGAAACTGAGGTTGGAATGCCTCATGACTTGCCCAAGGCCCAGCAAGCTTCATTTGTTCACTGATTTGCAAACATTCTTTAATCTTTCATCTGTGTGTGTTGCAGGTCCCCGAGGTATATCTCATGCCCACGTCACTGTCCCCTCTGTGGACATTCAACAGAGCCTGCTGGCCGGCTGCCAGCCACTCATTGACTCAGCAAGCCCAAGCCAACTCCTCCTGCCACCTTCCTCAAGTGTCCCCTGGCTCTTCAGTGGAAAATCCAGCTTGACTCCTCCCCGAGAGTTAAGTCTGGCCGATTCTCCCTCTGAATTCTGCCTCCCATCTGTACCCCCCTTCCATCCTGGCTACCCCCACCCTGGTTTGGCCCTCACTACCTTTCACAAGGACTGTTGCTGCAATAAGTTCCTTAGGGGTCTCCCAGCTGACTTCCACAATCTTTTCTCCCCAACCCCCTACACGGTGATTTCCCAGAAGCACAGCTCTAGTCCTGTCACTTCCCAACTCTAGAACCCTCAGAGCCTCCCATTGTCTACTTTTTTTTTTCTTGAGACAGGGTCTCACTCTGTCACCCAGGCTGGAGTGCAATGGCGCTATCTCGGCTCACTGCAACCCCCGCCTCCCGGGTTCAAGCAATTCTCCTGCCTCAGCCTCCTGAGTAGCTGGGATTACAGGCGCCCGCCACCACGCCCGGCTAATTTTTTGTATTTTTAGTAGAGTTGGGGGTTTCGCCATGTTGGCCAGGCTGGTCTGGAACTCCTAGCCTCAAGTGATCCACCCGCCTCAACCTCCCAATGTGCTGGGATTTCAGGCGTGAGCCACTGCACCCGGCCTGACTACTCTTTCCCTGGCAATTGCTGCGTCACCAAGCCCCAACCCACCCTGCTGAGTTTTCCTTCCAAGACTCCCCTCCCATCCAGCCGGCTTGAACCGGCCTCCAGTCACGTTGTTTGTTCAGCTAGAATTTTTCTCTGCCTTCTCTTCAAGGCCGCTCAAGCTTCATGAAGCGGTTCTTTATTCTGACTATGCCCACTTCTCTCATTTCCCTCATCACCCGGCCCCGCTCCACATACTGCATTTATCTATAAACTCCTGAGAGCCAGGAGTTTAGCCTGAAATCCTAGCTTCCTGGTTAAGAGCTGAAATGCCTTCGCACGGCGTGCAATGGGTGAACCCCACCGCCTGCTTTCTAACGGGTCCAAGCCGCGGGCAGGGGCCTGTGTTACGGAGCCGCATGACACACCAGGCCTACTGCTGGACCCCAACAAGCCTAGCCTCTGTGAATCCAGCTGTCCTCACAAACTGTCTCTTCGGGACACAAGCCCATCAGAGGCTTCCGTTTTCCTTTCATAAGATCTCATAACCGTCAGCTGATACCTGGGACAGGCACAGCACACATAGGTCATTCTAGAAATATTGGTGGTCTGAACAAACTCTAAGCTGGAGAGGACATGAGAATGATAGATCCGATTCCTTCTCTCAACAGAAGAAATCAAGGCACAGAGAAGGGAAGAGACTCGCCCTAGGTCCCACAGCAAGCAGCAGTACTGGAGCCAACACGGAGGCCCCCCGGTTTCACGGTCAGGGCTCGCTACGCTACACCCTGAACGCAGACCCAGGGCAGCGGCCTCGGCCGCCTGAGGCCACTGCCGAAGACTTCGCCGCCAGTCGTAACATCACGTTACTTCTGTCCCTCGCCTCACAGACTCCTTCGCTCTTTCCACTACAGCGAGAGGACTTCTCCAGGGCCGCATCACCCTGCGGAGGGAGGAAGACACGGTCTCTCACGAAAGGGTCTCCAGACAGTTCCGCTGCTCCGGGAGCAGCCCCCGGCCCCGCCCCCGCGTGCGCCTGGCCCCACCCCCAAGCGCTCCATGACCAGCCTCCACGTGCATCCGCCCCAGACAGGCCAGGCCTGGGAGGAGCCGAAGCCCCACTCCCCGCCTTCTTCATGAGATCGTCCCTATTGACGTCGACAGACAGAAGCCGCGTCCAGTGAGAAGGAAAGAACGGCCGCTATAGCCCTATCGGCTGCTACAACACCAAAACGCATCCACCTAACTGGCTGACGCTACACCTTGGTCTTTCCGGGTCCTTGCACGCTTCGCTCCAACTCCTGCAGAGCTGAGCCGGAGGGGAATCCGGAAGGGACACGCTGAACAGGTAAGACTGTGCTGCCTGGGGTGCCTACTGGCATCGATTCGAGGGCTGCCGCGCTCCCGCTGCAGAGCTCGGGGTGGGAGACAGGCGCGGCGAGGAAGGCCAGGGAAAGGGGCGGGGAGGGGCGGGGAGGAGTGAGCACGTGGAACGCCGGCGCCACCGGGCCTAGGTGGCAGCTGGGCCGGCGCGCTCCGCCCGTTCTGGGGCGCGTGGGGCCCTCCGGCCGGATCAGTGCTGCAACCGTAAACACGCAGGGAGGGCACCCCGAGTGTCGCCGCTGAGGGCGTTTCTCTAAGCGCTTCTCTGAGACCTGCTGCTGAAGGCCCCACCCGACACCTGGCGGGGGCTGGGCTGCGGGCCTTGGGGCGGTGTCCCCTGTGAATGTTCAGGTCAGCATAACAGGTTAGGTGTGGTTGAAGCTTACGAAGTGGCCGGCTCTGTGCTGCCGGCTTCACAGGCGCTAACATTTGCCAGCGCTATGATGTCCTTGTCAGACGCAGAAAGGGGTGCAGTTTGGTTGTCCGTCGGGGTAGCGCACAACTAGCAAGTGATGGGGCCTGGGTTTGGCCCTCGCCTCCACTCTGAGTTGTGAGTTAGCGAGAAAGCCACGCCTCGTGGGCTCCCCGGGGGCTTCAGAAACCATGACGCCTTTCACCATGGTGTTCTACAGGCATTGTCTTGTGACTCCAGCAG
Organism: Homo sapiens; assembly: GCF_000001405.40. Taxonomy (NCBI): domain Eukaryota; kingdom Metazoa; phylum Chordata; class Mammalia; order Primates; family Hominidae; genus Homo; species Homo sapiens. The sequence goes on from NC_000014.9 coordinate 72,927,234, forward strand.
CGCAGCCAGAAGCAAAGAAAACTGAGGGGACGGCTTCCTAGAGGAAACAATTCCAAAGTCCCAAACTCTGATTTTAAATAACGATGGAAATTAGAGTCGCGGTGGTGTTCTTTTTTTTTTTTTTTTTTTTTTTTTTTTGAGGCGGAGTCTCGCTGTCGCCCAGGCTGGAGTGCAGTGGCACGATCTCGACTCACTGCAGCCTCCGCCCCCGGGGTTCACGCCATTCTCCTGCCTCAGCTTCCCGCGTAGCTGGGGCTACAGGCGACCACCACCTCGCCCGGCTAATTTTTTGTATTTTTAGTAGAGACGGGGTTTCACCGTGTTAGCCAGGATGGTCTCGATCTCCTGACCTCGTGATCCGCCCGCCTCGGCCTCCCAAAGTGCTGGGATTACAGGCGTGAGCCACCGCGCCCGGCCTGAGGTGGTGTTCTGTGGGTAACCAGGCCTGGGGGTCCTACCAACAGAGGTGGAATCCCTGTTCCACCATTTAACTTACGCTGGGTGTGGTACCTAGTCCTGTAAGCCTGTTTCCTCATTTGTAAAATAGGATTGAAAATACCAACTCAGGGTGGGCGTTAGTACAAAGCTTGCGCCTGAAGTATTTCTTAAATAAGTGTTAAGAGAAAATTTTGTTGTTTTTTAAGTCAGCTGTCTAAAATGTTGTTTTACAGTGAACAACTCCTAACTGCTGGGATTATAGGCATGCACCACCACACCCGGCTAATTTTTAAATTATTTGTTAAGATGGGGCGGAGGGGTGTCTCACTATGTTGCCCAGGCTGGTCTTGAACTCCTGGGCTCAAGCTATCCTCCCACCTCAGCCTCCCAAAGTGCTGGGATTAGAGGCGTGAGCCACCGCCCTGGCCTGTAGAAGCTACTTTGTATTCAGCTTTACAGACCAGTGGCGTTAGCGTTTTGCACATTACAGCCCGCTAGTCTACAGAATCCCCCCACTTTTTTTTTTTTTTTTTTTTTTTGATACGGAATTTCACTATTGTTGCCCAGGCTGGAGCACAGTGGCGCGATCTCGGCTCACCGCAACCTCCGCCTCCCAGGTTTAAGGGATTCTCCTGCTTCAGCCTCCCGAGTAGCTGAGACTACGGGCGCACGCCACCGCGCCCGGCTAACTTTTTGTATTTTAGTAGAGACAGGTTTTCACCATGTTGGCCAGGATGGTCTCACATATCTGCCGACCTCGTGATCCGCCCGCCTCGGCCTCCCAAAGTGCTGGGATTACAGGCATGAGCCACCGCGCCCGGCCAGTCTACAGACTCTTACAAAATTCCCCTGTTGTTGGATATCTAGGATGTTTCTCACTTTAACTATTACAGCATGGTGTAGTAAACATCCTTTATATATATATATATATATATATATATATATAGTTCACATACCCTAAAATTAACTTTTTTAAAAGGGTTCAATCCAGTGGGTTTTTTTATTATTATATTGGCAAGATTGTGCAACCATCACCACTGTCTAATTCTGGAACATTCTCATCCACCCAAGAAGCAACCCCGCGGCCCCAGGGTGCCCCAGTCTCAGAGCCCCGGTTGTTGGGCTCCAGTCCAGGCCCCCTAACCATGTGCTAAACAAGATGGTGAGGCTCAGCCTGGAAACCAGAACAGCCCCGAGGCCCCCAAACTGGAGAGCCCCAAGGGGAGATGGAGCCCCTCCCCCATTCTGAGTTTTGGCCCCGTGCTAAGGCTGGACCGACCCCCTGTGCTGTCAAGCCTACCTCCCAGGGGAGGCGAGGCCAGCCCCGATGTGTGCGGGCTGCCATCCCCCACACTTGGCTCCGGGGCTGGTCGGTGTTGGGCGTCCCAGCACTGCGGGCGGCACGGACGCCCGGGGCTGCTCCCTACTGGGTGTAGCGCACCCCGCCCCCCACCCCGCCCGGCCTCCTCTGGGCCTGCGCCTTGGGCCTATTGAGGCCAGGCCTGGAATGGTGCCCTGGAAGCAGGAAAGAGCCTGTAATTCCGGAAGCTGCGGGCTCCCAAACCAGACACCATTTTGGAGACCGGTGCAAAAATGTGTGCCGCTTTTGTGTGGAAAACTGCTAGACTGTGAGAGAGAGCCGACCTCCTCATGCATGAACCTTTATAGAGGGTGGTCCACATATTCTGTGCACTACATACACATACGCTGGGCACATACTGGCTCTCTGTGTTAAATCTCAGATTTGCTGCCGCGCGTGGTGGCTCACGCCTGTCATCCCAACGCTGCGCCAAGGCAGGAGGATCGCTGGAGGCCAGAAATTCGAGACCAGCCTGGGCGGCAACAAAGCGAGACCCCGTCTCTACAAAAATATTTTTTATTTTTATTTTATTTTTCCGTCAAGCTGTTCTTTATTTCAGGAAGAGGGCAGGGGAGGGGGCTCAGTCTTTCTTGGCAGCGGCTTTCCTCATGGCAGCCAGTACCTTGCTCAGCTCCTCCCGCTTCCTCTTGGCACGGATGTGCGTCCCCACCCTTTTCTTGATGAACTTGAGGGCCCATTTCTCCTTGAAGACCTTCAGTGACTCCATGGCGCGCAGCTCGTACGAAGCGAAGCCACACACCTCCCGGATCATGTCCCGCTACAAACTTGGTGCGTTTGCTCAGACGCCCGCGGCGGCGGCTGTGCCTGGGCTTGCTCACGTTCTTGGTCACCTTGTGGCCCTTGTTGAGGCCCACGGCCATAAGGTAGCGCAGAGCCATGGCTGCTGCTCTCCATGGCGGCCGTGGCGGAAGGCCAAAAATATTTTTTAAATTAGCCTGGTGTTGTGGCTCGTGCCTGTAATTCCGGCTACTCCGAGGTTGAGGCAGGAGGACGGCTTGAGCCGGGGAGATGGAGGTTGCCGGGAGCGGAGATCGCGCCACTGCACTTCAGCCAAAAGGGGGGTAGGAGGGAATAAGTAAATAAAATTAAATAAATAAAGTGGTATCTCACTGTGGTTTTGATTTGCATCTACCTAAGGACTAATGATGTTGGGTATCTTTTCATGTGCCAGTTGGCTATTTGTGTAGCTTTTTCTTTTTTTTTTTTGAGACGGAGTTTTTTTTGTTTGTTTTTGAGACGGAGTTTCGCTCTTGTCGCCCAGGCTGCAATGCAGTGGCACCATCTCGGCTCACTGCAGCCTCCACCTCCCGGGTTCAAGCGATTGTTCTGGCTCAGCCTCCCAAATAGCTGGGACCACAGGCGCCCGCCACCACACCGAGCTGATTTTTGTATTTTTAGTAGAGACGGGGCTTCGCCATGTTTATCAGGCTGGGCTTGAACTGCTGTCCTCAAGTGATCCGCCAGTCCCAGCCTCCCAAAGTGCTGGGATTACAGGCGTGAGCCACTGTGTCCGGCCCTAAATAATGTCTTTCGATGCACGGAAGTTTTCAATTTTGATGAAGCCCAATTTATGTGTGTATGTGTGTGTGTATATATATATATGTAGTGTGTGTGAGTTTTGGGTGTCATATTTGAGAAATCATTGCCTAATCAAGATCATGATGATTTATACCTTTGTTTCCTTCAAAGAGTTTTATAGTTTTAGATCGAGATCCATTTTGGTTCATTTTTGTCCCATATGGTATGAAGTAAGGATCCAAATTCATTCTTTTGCAGTTTGATATTCAAATGTCCCAGCAGTTGAAAAGACACTTCTTTCTTTCATTGAATGGTCTTGGCACCTAGATGAAAACCAGTTGACCATAGATAGGCATATGGGTTTATTTCTGGTCTCAATGCTACTCCATTGATCTATATTTCTATCCATATGCCAGTAACACAGTGTCTTGATTACTGTAGCTGTGTAATGAATTTTGAAATTGCGAGGTGCGAGTCATCCCAACTTTGTTCTTTTTCAAGATGATTTTGGGTATTCTGGGTCCCTTGCATAATATGAATTTAGGATCTGCTTTTCCATTGCTAAAAAAATGGCATTTGGAATTTTGATAGGGATTGCATTCAATCTGTAATTTCTTTCAACAGTGTTTTATAGTTTTCTGTGTACACGCCATATATTAATTTTGTTAAATATATTCCTAAGTACTTTTTCTCTTTTTTTTTTTTTTTTTTGTAACTGAGCCTGAGCAGGACCAGAGGAGTGCTTTATTCTTTTTGATGCCATTGTAAATGTAACTTTTCTTTCATATTCAGGCTGTTCATTGCCTGAACCAGTGTATAGAAATACAACTGGTTTTTCTATATTGATCTTGTATCCTGCAACCTTGCTGAATTCATTTGTGAGGTCCAGTAGATTTTTGGTGGATTCTTTAGGATTTTCTGTATATAAGATCATGTTTGGTTGCCTTTTCTTTGTCTTGCCTAATTGCCTGTCTAAAACTTCCACTACAATGTTGAACAGATGTATTGAGAACCAACATCTTTGTCTTATTCCTGACCATAGAGGGAAAACTTTGTCTTTGGCCACTAAGTATGATGTTAGGTGTGGGTATTTTGTAGATGCTCCTTATCAGGTTGAGGAAACTACCTTCTGTTTCTAGTATGTTGAATGTTTTTTTAATCATGAGAGGATGTTGCATTTTGTCCAGTGCTTTTTCTGTGTATCAATTGAGAAAATCATGTGAGGTTTTCCCCATCTATTAGTATGGTATATTGATTGATTTTCATATGTTGAACCAACCTTATATTTCTGAGATAAATCGCGCTTGGTCTTGGTATATAATTCTTTTTATATGCTCCTGGATTTTGCTTGCTAGCATTTTGTTAAGGATTTTTGTGTCTCTGTATTCATAACCCATACTGACCTATATTTTTCCTTCTTTTTTTTTTTTTTTTGAGAGATGGAGTCTTGCTCTGTTGCCCAGGCGGGAGTGCAGTGGCATGATCTCGGCTCACTGCAACCTCTGCCTCCCAGGTTCAAGCGATTCTCCTGCCTCAGCTTCCCAAGTAGCTGAGACTACAGGTGTGCACCACCACGCCTAACTAATTTTTTGTATTTTGGTAGAGATGAGGTTTCACTCTATGTTGGCCAGGCTGGTCTTGAACTCCTGACCTCAGGCGATCTGCCTGCCTTGGCCTCCCAAAGTGCTGGGCTTACAGGCGTGAGCCACTGCACCCGGCCTTGACCTATATTTTTCTTCCTATATCTTTGTCTGATTTTGGTAACAAGGTAATACTGGCCTTATAAAATGATTCGGAAAAATGTAGTAAATATCTTGGAATCATTTTTGTAGGAGCAGTTCCCAGAAGGAAGGCATGTACATTTGTAAGTTACTTGATAAATATTTTCCAGTCATTTTCCAAAAAACCAAATTGTGTTTATTTGTGATTAACATTGCCTTTGCAGAATAGTAGTCTCTTAGAAATTATAATTCTTAATGCCTTGAGGTACTTAAAAGTTTCTCTGAAAGACAAAGGCAAGCCCAACCTTCTGCAACACACCTGATTTTAACATCTAGAGCAGCTCCAAAGGTGCTAGATGCAGCATGTTACCAGCAAATTGTTTTCGAGTGCTTCCTACATAGAACAGGTTTTCTCAGCTTTAGCACTGTTTTGGGCCAGGTAACTCTTTTGTTGTTGTTTTTGAGATGGAGTCTTGCTATGTTGCCCACACTGGTCTCAAACTCTGGACTCAAGCCATCCTCCCACCTCAGCCTCCCAAGCAGTTGGAACTGCAAGTGTGAGCCATCACACCCAGCTGAATAATTTTTTTTTCTTTCTTTCTTTCTTTCTTTTTTTTAATGTTGTTTGTTTGAGACGGGATCTTGCTATGTTGCGCAGGCTGGTCTTGAACTCCTAGGCTCAAGCAATCCTCCTGCCTCGGCTTCCCGAGCAGCTGGGATTATAGGCATCAGCCACTGCACCCAGCCCTGGATAATTCTTGCTGAAGAATGTGTGGAAGCTGCCCTGCGCATTGTAGGGTGGTTAGCAGCATCCCTGGCTTTTACCCACTAGGCGCTAGTAGCAGCCTACCCCTCCTTCTCCCGAGCTGTGACAAACAAAAATGTCTCCAGACATTGCCAGATGTCCCCTGGTGGGCAAAATAATCCTTAAGAAGCACTGATCTACAAACTGTGATGCATACTGGGTTTTATATTATTACTAGATAAAATTGTCTCTAATGGCCAGGTGCGGTAATCCCAGCACTTTGGGAGGCCGAGATGGGCAGATCACAAGGTCAGGAGTTCGAGACCAGCCTGGCCATTATGGTGAAACCACATCTCTACTAAAAATACAAAAATGAGCCAGGCATGGTGGCATGCGCCTGTAGCCCCAGCTATTCGGGAGGCTGAGGCAGAAGAATCGCTTGAACCCAGGAGGCAGAGGTTGCAGTGAGCCGAGATTGTGCCATTGCACTCCAGCCTGGGTGACAGAGCAAGACTCCATCTCAAAAAAAAAAAAAAAAGTCTCTAATTCTCACTGTATACCATTACCACTTTGGTGCCATTTGTCCCAGTCCATGTCACCATATCCTGTTTACTTTCAAATCTGTCTCTTTAGGCTCAATTTCTCTCTGTATTCTCAGACCCGTATTTCCCATTGCCTGCATCTTGAGATTGATTTGTTCAAAATCAGACTTACTCTCCTCTCCCCAAAGTGTTCTTCCTTTATTCTTAGTCTCCCTGCTCATGACTCTACCAGTTATTCACTTAACCTTTCTCAACTCCTCTCTCCACCTCTCCCATGAAATTTGCTGCCTAAATCTAAATCCAGGCTCCGCTATCCCAAGTACCATGTCCATAATGTGTAAGCGAGTTCATCTCACCTGGCTTGCCACTGCAGTTCTTACTTGTCACCCCATGCCGCTGCCTTTCAGGTGCCCTTTCTTAGCAGCTCTAATCATGTCACTCCTCGCACACCCAGAGTCCTCATGATCATGCCCTGTCTGCCTCTGCAGGCTCATCCCCCCCATTTCTTGAACTTCAGGCTCTGGCCATACCAAACAGCCTGCAGGCCCCCCGCCCCCACTGCCTTACGTGGCATTTTCTTTTTTTTTTTTTTGAGACGGAGTCTCGCTCTGTTGCTCAAGGCTGGAGTGCAATGGCGCTATCTCGGCTCACGGCAACCTCCACCTCCCGGGTTCAAGCGATTCTCCTGCCTCAGCCTCCCAAGTAGTGGGGATTGCAGGCGCCCACTACCATGCCTGGCTAATTTTTGTATTTTTAGTAGAGACGGGGTTTCTCCATGTTGGTCAGGCTGGTCTCAAACTCCCAACCTCAGGTGATCCACCCGTCTCGGCCTCCCAAAGTGCTGGGATTACAGGTGTGAGCCACTGCACCCGGCCTAATTTTTGTATTTTTAGTAGAGTTGGGGTTTCGTCATGTTGGTCAGGCTGGTCTCAAACTGCTGACCTCAGGTGATCTGCCCACCTCAGTCTGCCAAAGTGCTGGGATTACAGGCGTGAACCACCACGCCGGGCTTGCCTGACATTTTCATTCTTCAGACTGCACTTATCTCCCTCCCCCACCTCCAGCCCAGGCATGTGGAGCAGTCACTCCCTTCTCTCCCACCACACCTGGAGAGACCTGGGTCTTCATCCTTATCCTGTGCTGCAGGGGTTGGTCTGTGCATCTGTCTCCCATATTAAACAATCGGTGCCTCCAAGCCAGGTAGCACAGCTTATTATCTCTGCCCACTCCCCAGTGCCTCACATGGAGTGGGCGCTTTGTAAATGTGTGTGGAGTAGTAAGTGGAAATAACCCAGAGCAGAAAGAAGCTACCTGGGACTTAAATGTAAAGTAGCCACAGGTTTTGTTTTGCTTTGCTTCAGTTCAGCAAAAATTTACTAAGCACCAACTAGGTCATGGATGCTAGGAATAGAAAAAAGAACAAAGTAGGATGTTTGCCTTACAGAATTCACCTCACGTCCAGTATGAGATGGGAGTATGAACAAACAGTCATGCAGAGTGATGAGTGCAAACATGGACTATAAAGCGGCCATAGAGAATGAACTGTGTTTGTGTTTAGAGAAGACACACTCCCCACCCCTGAACAGGCTTCTTAAAAGTACTAGAAAGGTACTGTCTTTGTCCTAGCCTTTAAACTCTTACTGTATTTGGAAGGCTTCTATTAGTATGTGACTTTTTAAATGATTTTTTTTTTTGAGACGGAGTTTCACCCTTTTGCCCAGGCTGGAGTGCGGTGGTGCAATCTCAGCTCACTGCAACCTCCGCCACCTGGGTTCAAACGATTCTCCTGCCTCAGCCTCCCAAGTAACCGGGATTACAGGCACCAGCCACCACACCCAGTGAACTGTTGTACTTTTAGTAGAGACGGGGTTTCACCACGTTGGCCAGGCTGATCTCAAACTCCTGACCTCAGGTGATCCACCCGCATCGGCCTCCCAAAGTGTTGGGATTACAGGCGTGAGCCACCACATCCGGCCTTTAAAATGATTTTTGCTTGACCTTGCTAACTATATTACTTGAGGTTGGCAGGCTCCCTTACCAGATTGCAGTGCCTGTATGAGTTAGGGGTGAACACATGCTCTCCCTGGCCCAAATTGGCATTCGCCAGTGATTTTATCATCGGCTGCGTCCTGCTGATTGTGCAGCCCCCTATTGAGAATAATGGTGTGAGTGGGACACAGTCCTGCCTCCTGTGGGTGATCTGAAGTCTTTGACTCACCAGTTCGTGTGTTCTTTGCTGTATTCATGCATTGTTACATAATTCAACAAATTAGAATCATTTCATATACAGAATATGCACTCTAAAGAAATTTTGACCTTTTTATAGAGTTGGTAATAATAATAATCTTTATGTCAGTAGAGTTTATTTTTCCTATCAGTCTTTTTCTCTTTTTGAGATGGGGTCTCACTCTATTGCCCAGGCTGGTCTCAAACTCTGGGCTCAAGAGATCCTCCCACTTCAGCCTCCCAAAAGTGCTGGGATTACAGGCATGAGCTACTGCACGCAGCCATTTTCCTACCAGTCTTAACACTGGCCACACGTGCTTCCCTTCCTGTGCGCAGTCCCTTTCAGCTTGTAACTTAACTATTAATAAATACAACTGTATTCTTTAGCTGGGGTATAAGATAACTGATCCATAGGGAAACCCACACATGGTGTTCAGGAGCCATTGTTTAGGACAATGAATAAGATAAAAGTTTTGGAGCCGGGCTTGGTGGCCCACGCCTGTAATCCCAGCACTTTGGGAGGACGAGGCAGGTAGATCACTTGAAGCCAGGAGTTCTTGAGCAGCCTGGCCAACATGGTGAAACCCCATCTCTACTAAAAATACAAAAATTAGCTGGGTGTGGTGGCAGGTGCCTGTAGTCCCAGCTACTCGGGAGGCTGAGGCAGGAGAATCGCTTGAACCCGAGAGGCAGAGGTTGCAGTGAGCTGAGATGGCGCCACTGCACTCCAGCCTGGGCAACAGAGCGAGACTCCATCTCAAAAAAAAAAAAAAAATACACACACATTTGGGCTGCAGGGGCAGGGATATTGCTTTCAGAGAAGAGAGGTATAGACAGGCAAAAGAGCAGATCGGGGGTTAGAGAGAAATCATGAACTCACTTTTGAACCTGTTGGGTCTGTGGAGATAGACACGAAGCAGCATAGGAACTTGGTGCTCAGTAGCGATATTAGGGTTGGAGCTGCATCTGCATTGGTAGATGAGGTGGTGTTAAGTCTGAAAAGAAAAGGATCTAGGACAGAACAATGGAAAGCACATACAGGGTGTGTGACCCAGGAGAAATGAGCAAAGGATTTATTTAGCAAGAAGAAAACCAAGAGAAAGATATTACAGAAGCCAAAGGAAGAATGTAGCCTCCTGGTGCCACATGTTGCAGGAATAAGGGCTAAAAAGAGACCACTCACTTTGGCAAGTAGGTAATCAATAGCAAGAGCATTTTAGTAGAAAGGCGAGGAGAGAGGAAGCTCAACTGCAGTGGGTTGAGGAATATCGGGAGATGAAGACATTGAATTCGTAGATGTAGACCATTCTTTCAGAATATGCCCATTTTTTTGGATTAGAAATGGAACACTTACAAATGAAAAACCTGGGCATGTTTTTAAAAGCTGAGATAAGGAGAAGGAGACATTAACATATGGGGGAACAGATAGATGTCTGCAGTTCCTGGGAAGGAATGAAATCAACAGCCAGGTGGGATGGGTCTCCCTTGAAAAGGAGCAGTGATACCTGTTGTCCAAGACAAGGAAGAAGACAATTAGTAAAGGCAGGTATTTGTGGAGCAGAAGGGAGTGAAGTTAGGGGTTTCATGCCTGGCAATTTTTCTTTTCTTTTTTTTTTTTTTTTTTTTGAGATGGTGTCTTGCTCTGTCGCCCAGGCTAGAGTGCAGTTTACAGTGAGCACAATCTCAGCTCACTGTAAACTCCACCTCCCGGGTTCAAGCGATTCTCCTGACTCAGCCTCCTGAGTAGCTGGGATTACAGGTGCACGTTACAACTCCCGGCTAATTTTTGTATTTTTAGTAGAGATGGGGTTTCACCATGTTGGTCAGGCTGGTCTCGAACTCCTGACCTCGTGATCCGCCTGCCTCGGCCTCCCAAAGTGCTGGGATTACAGGCATGAGCCACCGCGCCTGGCCGACCTGGCAACGTTTCTGTGGGGTAGGAAACTATGTGGTCGACTAAGGGTAACAGGAAGGAAGTGGGAAGGATGTTGGGGGAGTGCTGGAGGCAGCCCTTCCCAGGTAAGGCTTGCTGTGGCAAATCTGATGATAACCCAGGGTGGGCCAGCCTTTTGCTGGTGCTGAGCATGAAGCAGCTGCCAAGAAGCAAACAGAAAAGCCCATGCCCACACACAGAGATGTATGGATTTTTTTGTTTTTCTCTTTTAGGAACAGAAATGAATAAAAGTCGCTGGCAGAGTAGAAGACGACATGGGAGAAGAAGCCACCAGCAGAACCCTTGGTTCAGACTCCGTGATTCTGAAGACAGGCAAGTGTGCCGCTCTGGGGAGCCACTTTTGCCCAGTGTGCTTCTGGCATTGTACACATGGCATGTCACACGATCACAGGTGTGGAGATCACCTGGGGGCTCGTCCCAATGCAGGTTCTGATTCTGTAGGTCTGAGGGGTCTTGAGGAGAGCCTGCCTTCCTAACGTGCTCCCAGGGCATGTCGCTTTGGTGGGTCAGCCCACCTCACTGAGTAGTGAGGAGAGAGGACCACTCTCTGTTCTTTCCTAAGTGACCACGACCTCTGGCCAGAGCATTCGCCATAAAGCTAGAGGTAGACGTTATCTGAAACAACTGGAAAACCGTTTCTCCATTTTGTAGACTTTTTATGCAAATACCTTTGTGGAAACCAAATTTTATTAATTCAGCCTAAGTCTCGGACAAGGATATACACTCATGCTTCGCTTAACAAGGAGGAATGCATTCTGAGGAATATGTTGTTAGGCAGTCGTGTCATGCAAACATCATAGCACATACGTAACACAAACCTACATGGTACAGCCAGCCACACACACCTAAGCTATATGGTGTAGCCAATTGCTCCGAGGCTGCAAACCTGTACAGCATGTGACTACTGAATGCTAGAGGCAGTCAGTACACAGTGGTATTTGTGTATCTCAACATAGAAAAGATACAGTAAAAATAGGGTATATAAGATTTTTTTTTAAATGGTATACCTATGTATGACACTCCTGTGAACAGAGCTTGCGGGACTGGAAGTCAGTGAGTGAGTGATGAGTGAACACAAAGGCTTAGGACATTACTGTATGCTAGTGTAGACTTTAAAACCCTGTACACCAGGCTACATTACATTTATTTATTTATTTAAGAGATGAGGTCTCACTCTGTTGCTCAGGCTGGTCTCAAACTCCTGAGCTCAAGTGATCCTTCTGCCTCAGCCTCCCAAAGTGCTGGGATTACAGACTTGAACCACCACCCAGGCCAAGGCTACATTAAATGTATTTTTAAAATAAAGTTGGCTGGGCCGGGTGTGGTGGCTGACGCCTGTAATCCCAGCACTTTGGGAGACCAAGGCAGCCGGATCACTTGAGGTCAGGAGTTTGAGACCAGTCTGGCCAACACGGCGAAACTCCGTCTCTACTAAAAATATAAAAATTATCTGGGTGTGGTGGCACACACCTTTACTACATCCTTCAGCCTATAATTCCCTCAGAAGCTACTTGTGGATTTACAAATCAAGTGTTTTAGCCGCAGCTCTATCCCAGTGTTACTGAACTAATCACCTCTGTCCCCCAAACCCCAGTTTCTCTGTCTGTAAGATTGTGTAGTCAAGTAAAATTTAAACTCTTTGTGCTACTGAATCCAATAAAGAATGAAATTCACCTAGCCTTGTAACTGCTGTTGTGCTGACAAATGAGCCCAGCTGGTAAAATTCTTATTGGCAGAGATTTCTATTTTTCCTTTTAATCTGGAAAATTCCACAAGACCTCACAAAATGCGCGAGTGAGAAGATAAGAAGAGGGAATCACTGTGACATCTGTCCTCTTTTAAAGAAAGAAAAAAGAATGAAAAACCAAAACCTTGCCCTATTTTGTTGTATTTGCAAGAGGGGATCAGTGCTTCTCAAGTAATCAGAAAGGTCAGAGATCAGAGGTGAAGGCTGCAGAACTGCCCGAATGGACTCCCTGCCCCCGTCAGAATGGCTGGAACTCAAGTCCTGGGCTGCAAGTTAACACAGCTGTGTGTCAACAGGTCTGACTCCCGGGCAGCACAGCCCGCTCACGATTCCGGCCACGGTGATGACGAGTCTCCGTCAACCTCGTCTGGCACAGCTGGGACCTCCTCTGTGCCAGGTAAGGCCACTTGCGGGGTGGGAATCCTGGCCCTTGCACACAGGGAAGGCTGAGACCCGTTCCTGGCTTGGAAGGAATTCCAGGAGCAAATTGAAACACTCAGGGAAGGAGCTGGGTGCGTCAGGAATGGTGGTCATGAGGCAAACCGCCTCCCCCAGGACTGAGCACAGTCCAGGATGTTGCCTGACAAGGCAGCTCATCCCCGCCCTCAGAAAAGACAGGCAGCCACGAGGTGGGGGGACAGGCCACTGGGCGCCCAACTCAGGTGGTCAGTTCACAGTGGTTGAAATTGGTGCATTTAATTTTTTTGTCTAAAGAGCTACCTGGGTTTTACTTTGACCCTGAAAAGAAACGCTACTTCCGCTTGCTCCCTGGACATAACAACTGCAACCCCCTGACGAAAGAGAGCATCCGGCAGAAGGAGATGGAGAGCAAGAGACTGCGGCTGCTCCAGGAAGAAGACAGACGGAAAAAGGTGGGCTCCTCACCCCTTCGCCCCCTGTCCTCTCCGCTCCTGCCAGCACCTGTCCATCCACTGTTGAAAAGGGTGCCAATTAGATGCCCCTGCGACACTTAGCAGAGGCACTTCAGGGGGTGTGGCCCTAGCTTTTCCCTGACAGGAAGAAGACAAGAATAAGAACAGCCAAGAGCCCCCTTCTTCCATCCCCGTTTTCTTGTTCGATAAGTTGTTTTTTTTTTTTTTTTTGAGGCGGAATCTCACTCTGTTGCCCAGGCTGGAGTACAGTGGCATGATCTCAGCTCAGTGCAACCTCCACCTCCCAGATTCAAGCAATTCTCCTGCCTCAGCCTCCTGAGTAGCTGGGACTACAGGCACGTGCCACCATGCCCAGCTAATTTTTTTATTTTTAGTAGAGACAGGGTTTCACCATGTTGGCCAGGTTGGTCTTGAACTCCTGACTTCAAGTGATCTGCCTGCCTCAGCCTCCCAAAGTGCTGGGATTACAGGCGTGAGCCACCACACCCAGCCTTCTTCAGCAGTTCTAACATTTTGTCATTCCTGAAGGAATCTTGGGAGGCAGTGTGATATAATTTTAGTAACTGTTTTTTGGGGTTTTTTTGAGACAGGGTCCCACTCTGTTGCCCAGGCTGGAGTGCAGTGGCGCCATCTCGGCTCACTGCAACCTCTGCCTCCCAGGTTCAAGTGATCCTCCTGCCTCAGCCTCCCAAGTAGCTGGGATTACAGGAACCTGCCACCATGCCCAGCTAATTTTTGTATTTTTTTTATAGAGATGGAGTTTCACCATGTTGGCCAGGCTGGTCTCGAACTCCTGGCCTCAAGTAATCCGCCCACCTTGGCCTCCCAAAGTGTGGGATTAGAGGTGTGAGCCACCATGCCCATCCCAGCTGTCTATTTTAAATAGAAGACCAGGATGCATGGTTTGGAATACAGGCCATCTTGTCTGTTTGCAATACAGACCAACAGGTCTAGACGCTAACATATTTTGTTGTCAAGGTAGGCAATGGAATGTAAAGTTCCAGCCCTGGGTCACCACGGGTGGAATGGAGAGTGGTGCAGACCTGTTTGCAGTCCCATTGCTGCACTCACGCACCTGGTGGCTTCGTCCCCCCGGGTGTATGTGGATGGGGAGCGTGGGCAGAGTTGACGAGCAGACTTTCCCACTCACACTTTCTTCTGCTGGGCCTTTCCTCTTGCCGAGGAAGGGAGACTTGGAAAGGACACCGTCAGATTTTTATGCATATAATTTCTGCCAATTTAGTGCCTGTTTCCTTCATTACATCCTATGGAACTAAAAACATTCTCCATCATCCCCTAACAAATAAATCTTCATTGAATTGTTCTCTTTTTTGTAATAAATATAGATTGCCAGGATGGGATTTAATGCATCTTCCATGCTACGAAAAAGCCAGCTGGGTTTTCTCAACGTCACCAATTACTGCCAGTAAGACAATGCCTCTTTGTTATGTTTTCTTCATGAATGTTCTTTTCCTGTTTCTTATTTTCATGGTATAAGAATCCAGTCTGGATAGACCATGTGGCTACCCCGTGAAGCACCTGCACAGTTGAGGGGCTCCAGTTCACACCCTGCCTTCTGCTGCTTAAACCCACCCTGAGAAAGCTGTTCTCTCTAGAGCGAAGGCGGGGGACTCTTGCAGGAGGATAGGGAGAGAGGATGGGGACGTAGGCAGAGATGTCTATTCTCTGTTACTCGTAAGTCATTCTAGTAGAAGCTCCTACAACTTCATTCCCATGACATTTCTGCATCCTTCTTTCCCTTCTAATGAGTTGTCACCAACAATGGGGCATTAAGTGGATGTGTGTGTACTAAACCTTATCAAAGTACTTATGATGGCTGATACAATTCTAACTAAAACCCTGTGAAATAGGCCGATACTTTCCCCCATTTCCTGAAGAAGAGACTGAGGCTCAGAGTGGAGTGATTTGCTCAAGGTAAAGCTAGAAGTGGGGAACTGTCTGACTCCAACACCTGAGCGCCCAGCGCTGCGTCTCCTGCCCCCACTGTACATGCTCAAGTGAAGAACCTGCATTTGAGGCAGCTTCCTGGGGCACAGCCCTCGGACCTTGGAGCAGGGCCCCTTCAGGGAAGGCCAGAAACACCGTAGGTATCAGGCAGGGCAGGCCCCTCCTGTTTTCCTCCTTCTGAGACAGAAAGTTAAAAATCTAGTTAGATCTGTTCCTCACCCTGCGAAACAAGAGGCGGCCGTATCCTGGGGCTCTTCCCGGCAGCCGTATCCTGGGGCTCTTCCCAGCAGCGGAGTGCCCTCCAGACCATTGTTTCATCTCCCGCACTTTCGTCATCTCAGGGGAAGGAGCTGTACTGAATGATGCAGACACAACTCCCTCTAACTCCCACTCTTTGACTCTGCAAATGGGCCACCCACTTCTTCATTTTCATCTTCCTGAGCGTTCTGTGGGGAAACTCAAATTCGGATAATCTGGGATCTTGCTCAGCTCCATTGCTGAGAAGTACTGTGGAGCAGGCTGACGAGGAGAGATGGGCGTCAGCGGGGCAGGGAAGGCCAGAGACCCCCGAATCTTCTTCATGGATGTCAGCTTCAGCATCCATGCCCCCACCCTCTGTTTCTGCAGTTTAGCCCACGAGCTGCGTCTCAGCTGCATGGAGAGGAAAAAGGTCCAGATTCGAAGCATGGATCCCTCCGCCTTGGCAAGCGACCGATTTAACCTCATACTGGTGAGTGGGAGGGGGACACCTGCCTAGGGTGTGGCTGCCACCCTCTGGACACTTTGTGGCTTAGCGTTGCCAGTCATCAAACCTGGCTCTGGAGAAGCCAACTGCAATGAAAGTAGGTGGCATCTTCTTGGTTGTACGATTTTAACCTGCCTGCTGGCTACCCGCTGGGAGACGCTGAGCTGGCAGGCAGGCTGTGGGGCGACCATCATCACCCCCCACTTCAGCTCCGTCGTTTAACGTCAGAGTCTGGACCCAGCCACACCTTGACTACTGAACTTTACACAATAACTTCTCCTTGGCTGTGTTGTATATGCAATTAAAAAGGCTCACAGTGGACCTGGGGACATCTGCTTCTTCCTGAACTGGGGCAGGACTTGGTGGCTAAACCTGCAGCCCAGTGTGCCTTTGGTCACTAGAGGGTAGGACTCCTTGCTTGCCGCCCCTGGCTTCAGTGGCACCTCCCATCAACACACCTCCATTACATCATTTGCAGGGGGTGAAAGGCCTTCTCTGGTTTGGGTTGGACCCAAGCTGGAAGCCAAGGTCAGCCGCTTAAACCCAGGGGCCAGGGAAAGGTTGGCAGAGAGCTAGAAGGACCACTGCAAACAAAGGTCCCTGACCTTTCGATGGACCACGTAAGAGCAGGGCCTGCCCGGCAAGCCCTATCCTTCCTGGAGGCTGAGGGAAAGCCAGGGAGAGTGAGAGGAGGATACAGAGGCAGGAGCATCTGGACTCGGTCATCTGCTGGTGGGACTGGAGGCCGATGCTAGAGATTGACCCTGGAGGTTGATACTGCATCCTCCTGCCCCAGGAGACCGCCACAGCAGGGCCCTTCCATGTAAGGGGTGTTGGGGACCGGGCCCACATTCTCCCATGTGGCTTTTCTCTCCATGTGTGCTTGGGGGTATGGTTTGACTGAATGAGTAGAATCGTCTCTTGTGGTTGGTTCCCCTCAGCAGCCCCTTCCCTGGGGTAAAGTGGGTGGGGACGGTGGGGGTCATTGGTGTGTGGGGTCTGGTGATGCACAGGCCACTGTTCACAAGCCTGGACATCTCGACCCTCATGCTTCCTCTCTCCTGACCCAGGCTTTACGTGTGGTAGGTCGTCTCCATCACCCAAAGTTACCGTGACTCTGGCTGGCCGGTGTGACCGCAGGGCCAGAAAGTGGCTTGGCACCTGGAGAGCAGTTTTTCAGATCTGAGTCTAGTCTCAATGATTCTTCTGGGAACATAACTTCTTCCTGAGTAAACTTACAACGTTGGTACAGTTTCACCAAAACCAACGTCCAAACTCGTGTGTGGGTCTGTATTTATTAATATATACAAAACACATAAATATGTGGAGTTTTTGCTTTGAAATAGCAATTAACCACATCATGTTTTAAAATGAGAAAAGAAAAGCTTAAAATAGCCCACATCTGGCACAGTGGTTCATGCCTGTAATCCCAGCATTTTGGGAGGCCTCAGCAGGTGGTTCACTTGAGCCCAAAAGTTTGAGACCAGCCTAGGCAACGTGGGTAAACCCCGTCTCTACAAAAAAATATAAATTAGCTGGGCATGGTGGTGTGTGCATATAGTCCCAGCTACTCGGGAGGCTATGGTGGGAGTATCACTTGATCCTGGGAAATCAAAGATGCAGTGAGCCATGATTGTGCCACCACACTCCAGCCTGGGCAACCAATCAAGACTCTGTCTCAAGAGAAAAAAATAGGGCCAGGTGTGGTGGCTCACACCTGTAATCCCAGCACTTTGGGAGGCTGAGATGGGAGGATCACTTGAGGTCAGGAGTTCGAGACCAGCCTGACCAACATTGTGAAACCACATCTCTACTAAAAATACAAAAATCAGCTGGGTGTGGTGGTGCGCACCTGTAGTCCCAGCTACTCAGGAGGCTGAGGTGGGAGAATAGCTTGAACCTGGGAGTCGGAGATTTCAGCAAGCTGAGGTGGTG